>NC_000004.12:88618350-88769865 GCF_000001405.40 Homo sapiens
GTAGAGATATTAGTGGTGAATGGGCATATAGTCATTCTGGCTATTAGAGGCTTTCCACTGATCACAGAGGGTATAATTCAGATTGGCTAGCTACCTTTCTCCTTTCTTCTCTACCCTTCTAATTTGTCATAAAGCCTTTGCTACTCTTTCATATAGAGTGGAACTCATCTTTGGTCAAGGATTTGTAAAGAGCTGGTTTTTTTATTTCTGAACTGATAAAATGTGATTAGGAGTGGGAAGGGGTGGGTCAGTGCCTGGTGAGGAAAGAGAGATGTTTCCCTTACCCCAGATCACTGGACGTAGGTTGAGTGGAAGGAAGGTACCAGTACATTCCACCTAAGGTTGGGCAGGACCTCTGTACCCACAGAATTCCTTTTCCTCAGCATTTTGTGAACTCAAGAAAAACAAAACAAAGTCATGTTTCATCTCCTTACTGCCACGCTTTTGTTAAACCACTTTATGAATTACCATTTAACTGCCTTGATTTAGATATTTTGGGTCAGAAAACAACTAACACTATTTTTAAGTTTGTTCAGTTTAAATGAACCATCAGCTTTGGCAGGCCACACCTGTTCCAGCCAAACAGAGGTGTCTGGAGACCTTCTTAGACTGACCTTGTGTGTCCAGCCAGGGGAGCTGTAGTGCCTGTGGATGGAGTTAACCCATAAAATTGCATGACAGAAAAGACTGGAGGGAGCCAGAGACTTCAGAATTTATTCATCCTTTTCTGTTTTTAGTTTGTTTGCTCTGTGTTCCTTCCTGTGGCTGGTCATCCTGGCGAGGTAGAGCCACAGGCCAAGAAGGAGCCATGTCTTGAATTCTTTTCACGTTTTCTGTTGTTCCTCTTCCCTTAGATCATTCTTGACTCTGAATATTATATGTCACTGCTCTGTGTAATTTGCATATTTATATAAAGTACTAGGACACTTTGACTTATTTTTAGTCAGGCTTTCATGCAGAATTTATTTCTGGTCAAGACTGCATGGCTGCCCAGGTCAGTCAGGCATATGATAACAGGGCATTTCAGTGGGAAATGATGCTTTACTTAATAAATGGTGTTGGTATAAGTGGCTGTTCACCTGGCATACAGAACTAGACTCCCTACCTCTCTCCATATTCTAAAGTAAATTCCAGATGTATGAAAGACATGAATGTAAAAAGTAAAACTATAAAAATAATAGGAAAAAAAATTAGGGGAATGTGTTTACAACCGTGAGGGTTTCAACGTGGTCCTGAAGCCATAAGAGAAATGATTGGTAGGTTTGCATGAAATTTTAAAATTTCCTGTGGCGTAAGGCATCCCATAACGAAGCCAAAAGGTGAGTGATAGACTGGGAGAAATAACTGCCAGACGTTGCCAGACAAAGATTTCATATTTCTAATATGCTAGAGTACCTTTAATTTGATAAGAAAAAGATAAGCAATCCTGTAATAAAATGGACATTTTACAAAGGAGTGCTTGCAAATGGCCAGTGAATTTATGCAAATATGTTCAGGGAAATAGGAATGAAAACGAGATTCCACTTTTTCATCATCCATTTGATTGGCAAGAAATTTTTAAAAGAGTAATACCTAGTGATCACTCATGTAGGAAAATGGGTTGTGCTGATTGAGCAGGTGTGAGCTGCTAAAATCTTGTAATACAGTCAACTGGCTGTTTTAGTAAAGTTGAAAATGTTCATACCTTTTGAATGAACAGTTCCATTTTTAGGAAGCTTATGCAAATAAAAATGTTAATATATAGCATAAGGAAATGTTTCTA
Organism: Homo sapiens; assembly: GCF_000001405.40. NCBI lineage: Eukaryota > Metazoa > Chordata > Mammalia > Primates > Hominidae > Homo > Homo sapiens. Next base: position 88,620,113 of record NC_000004.12, read on the forward strand.
AGTATGCTTATTGCAGCAATGCTGTTAATGGCAAAATAACAGAAATAGCTTACTCATCCTCTAGGGAATAGGTTGAATAAATATAACGGGTCACAAGATAAAGTTTTAAGTAGCATCTTTATACTGTTGACTCACAAATTATCTTCAGCCTCAACTACTTAATTTCAGACTTGATATTGACTTAAATTCTCCACTTGGATATGTAATTGCTACCTTAAACCTAACATATTCAAAGCAACACTGTTTTTTCTCCCTTAAACCTGTTTCTTACCCTGTTTTCTTCATCTCTGTAAATGGCCTTTCCATTCTTCAGGCCAAAAACCTTGGAGTCATCCCTGATTTGTCTTGTCTTCTTCTCTCACATTCCACATCTAATTTTTCAAGAAAACCCCCATCTACATAGGATCTGTCTTGAGAATATATATTCAGGATCTCATACCTCTTCTACCCCTCTTCCTGCCTCTCTGGTCCAAGTTACCATCATATCTCACCTGGATCATTGCAGTCATTTCTAATTGTTGTGCCTGTTTCCTCCCTTAATCCCTCTCTCCACAGAGTAATCATATTATCCCTCTCCCCAAAATCTTCCAGTGCTTTCTCAGCTCATCTCTTATGGCTCTTCCCTGGCATACTCTGTTCCTCTGGCTTCATTGGTCCCTCCTCAGAGTGTTTACCCTGCTATTCTGTAACTTGGGAACTATCTAGGACCTATGTTCCTCTGGTTCCTATATGCCTGATGCTTTTATTCCTTCAGGTCTCTGCTCCCATGGCACCTTATTAGAGATGCCTCCATTTACTACCCTGTGTTTCCTACCCTTCCCAGCACTGTATCCCCCTTCCTTGCTTTGGGCATTTATCCCTATCTGATATTATTCAGTCAGTCACAATCAATACCTCTCTTACCTCTTTTGTTTGTTTAAGCTCCACGAGAATAAGGGCATTGTTTTGTATCCTCAACACCTAGAACATTGTGTGGCACATAGTGAGTGCAGCTTTCAGCAAGTTTTTTTTTTGAGTCGGAGTCTCGCTCTGTCACCCAGCTGGAGTGCAGTGGTACGATCTTAGCTCACTGCCACCTCCACCTCCTGGGTTCAAGCGATTCTCCTGCCTCAGCCTCCTGAGTAGCTGGGATTACAGGTGCCCGCCACCATACCTGGCTAACTTTTGTACTTTTAGTAGAGACAGGGTTTTGCCATGTTGGCCAGGCTGGTCTCAAACTCCTGACCTCAGGTGATCAACCCACTTGGCCTCTCAAAATGCTGGGATTACAGGTGTGAGCCACCGTGCCTGGCCTCAGTAAGTATTTTTTGGATAAATGAATGATTATATTGTGAAACAAAAACTTTCTAATTAAGGAGTATAGAATCTTTTTTGTTTGTTTTACAAATAAAATCAAGCCCAAACTCTATTTTATAGAATTATTTTCCTTTAATTTTTCCTTCCTATGTCTGGTATGTGGAATTCATTTCTAGACAGGATCACACAGTTTTTGCTGTCAGGCATTTGCTTGATGGCCTGTAGTGATCTGCATGTCTTACATATGTGAAGCTGAGGAGAAAGAAAGGTCACCCCTAGAAATTCTGCCTGCATTACTGCAGCAGGTTTGTCTGATTTGTGAAATTGGTTGGAATTATGCCAGTGGTGCTAGGGACACAAATATGTTGAATATTGACATCCTACAGTGTGTTAATTCCCTTACCTAAATATGTATAAAGTTTCTTTTATAACCCTAAAACTGTAAGTATTCTGAAATTAGAAGCAATGTGACTATATCTGCAGTAGATAGTTGTACTTGCATGGCCATGACAGCCTGTGCACTCAAGTTTGGACCCATCCTCCACTGTGACACATTTTTGTTTTATAATAACAGTTATTGAGATACAATTTGCATACCACATGATTTACCCATTTAACATGTACAATTCAATGGTTTTTAGTATATTCACGGAGTTGTATAATCATCACCACAATCAATTTTAGAACATTTTCATCTCTTCAAAAAGAAACCACCCATACACATTAGCAGTCACTTACCTTTCCCCTTCAGCCCTGGACAACCATTAATCTACTTTCTGTTTCTATAGATTTGCTTATTTTGAACATTTCATGTAAATGAGATGATACGATATGTGGTCTTCTGTGACTGGCTTCTTTAATTTAGCATTTTCCAGGTCCATCCATGTTGTAGCATGTATCAGTACTTAATTCTTTCTTATTCCCAAATAATATCCCATTGTATGGATATACCACATTTTGTTTATACTTTTATCAGTTGATAGACATTTGGGTGGTTTTAGGTTTTTGGCTGTTATGAATAATGCTGCTGTGAACGTTTTTACACAATTTTTTGTGTGGACACATGTTTTCATTTCTCCTAGGTATGTACCTAGAAGTGGAATTGTTGGGTTATATGGTAACTCTGCGTTTAGCCTTTGAAGGAACCTTCAGATTGTTCTCTAAAGTGATTGCACCATTTTAAATTCTCACAAGAAGTGTATGAGGGCCCGAGAGATCTTTTTAAAATGTAGATCTGTTTGGCCGGGTGTGGTGGCTCACGCCTGTAATCCCAGCACTTTGGGAGGCAGAGGTGGGTGGATCACAAGGTCAGGAGTTTGAGACCATCCTGGCCAACATGGTGAAACCCCATTTCTACTAAAAATACAAAAATTAGCTGGGTGTGGTGGTGTGTGTCTGTAATCCCAGCTACTCGGGAGGCTGAGGCAGGAGAATTGCTTGAACCCGGGAGGCAGAGATGGCAGTGAGCTGAAATTGCGTCACTGCACTCCAGCCTTGTGACAGAGTGAGACTCCATCACAAAAAAACAAAAACAAAAATGCAGATCTGTTGATAAGAGTGCCTATCTCATAGGGTTATTGCGAGGATTAATTGAGATAAAACATATAAAGCTCTTAAAACAGTTCCTGGCATGTAGAAAGCAGTCAGTAAGTCCTGGCTATTATTCTTATTATTGATATAGTGGGTGCTCTATGTATAAGCTAGTTTCTTATGTAATGATGAAACTTAACATCAGATTCACCTGGGCAACTTCAGATTTCTGGTCGTCCTGAAGTTTTTGATGCAAGTGGCTAGGATGGACTCACATCAGTCATGTTTGTTCAGAAAAAGTTTCGCAAGGGATTCTGATGCTCATTTTTTGTTGTGAATCACTGCTTTAAAGATTCCACTCTGGGCGTTGCCTCTAGGAAGCTGTCCTTGGGCCTACTTAGGCTGGTTTGATTACTCATCCTCTGTCCTCCCATAATGTGCTATGCATAATTTTGTTACTGGGTTTACCTCACTATACTGTAATTTTTAAATCTGTCATCTGTTATAGCCTTTGAGTCACTTTGGATGAATGAATGAATAGCTCATTATCACTCAAGGCACATCTTGGATATTACCTCTTCCAAGAAGCCTTTCCTAACTCTCTCTGTCTCCCACTCGCAGTCTGGGTTCGTTGTCCCTCACGTGGGCTACCATTCAAACCTGCATGTTTCTTTTATTACACTATTGTGATAAACGTTGACCATCAGTACGTATGTCTTGTTTTCCTCGTCAGTCAAGGGAGCATGGGTGCAGAACCACATGTTATTTATCTTTTCACCCCTAGTATTTATAAAGAATCTTGTATATGATAAAGCATATATTTTTTGGTGTGTATGTGCTTTATTATTTTAAAATCAACTTTATTTAGATAATTTACACGCAGTAGGAGTCACCAATTTTAAATGTACAATTTAATGAGTTTTGACAGTCATTGAATCAGGTAACCACTACCACAATCATGATAGCATTTCCATCACCCCCAAAACTTCTCATTTCCCTTTATGTCAATTTAACATCCACACCAACTGTTTTGTTCCCCCTGCTTTTTTGTCACTATAGTTTTGACTTATCTAGAACTTTGTATAAATGGAATCACATATTATGTAGTCTTTTGTGTCTGGCTTCTTAGAATAATGCTCTTGAGGTTGATCCACATTGTTGCACATGTCAGTAGGTTTTTGTGTTTTATTACTGGGTGGTATTCCCATTTTATGGATAGAGTCACCAGTTCATGGACATTTGAGTATTTTCCCCCGTTTTGGGTTGTTTCGAATAAAACTGTTATGAACATTCAATTACAAATGTTTGTGTAGACATATGTTTTCATTTTTCATGAATAAACTCCTAGGAGTGAATTGCTGGTTCATATGGTAAGTGTATGTTCCATTTTATAAGAAACTGCCAGTAATTTATGAGAGTTCTAGTTGCTCCTCAGCATCACTTGCTATTGTCAGTCTTTTAAATTTTAGCCATCCAAGTTGGTATGTAGTGGAATCTCCTTGTCGTTTTAATATACACTTCCTTAATGACTAATGAACTTGAACAGCTTTTCTTGTGCTTATTTTTGCCATTTGGGTATCTTATCTTTTGCAGAGTGTATGTTCAAATATATGTCCTTTAAAGAAAACCAAATTGCTTGTCTTACAATGTTCTTTATGTGGTCAGTATACTGATCTTTTATCAGAGAGATGTTTTACAAATATTTCCTTCCAATCTGGTTTTCCTTTTCGGTTTCTTAACAGTGCGTTTTGAAGATCAAAAGTTTAATTTTAATGAAGTCTAATTTTCAATTTTTACTTTCACAGTTTATGCTTTTTGTGTCCTAAGAATTTTACCTAACTCACAGTCGTAATGATTGTTTTCCTAAGTTTTCTTCTTGAAATTTTATAGTTTAGCTCTTACATTTAGGCCTATGATCCATTTCAAATTAAAATTTTATATGTAGGTGATATAATGGTCAAGGTTCGTTTTTTTGCATATGGATACCCAATTTTCAGCATCATTATTGAAAAGACTGTATATCCCCCTGCTCCCTTGCATTATCCTGGAACCTATGGAAGACAGTTGGCTGTGTGTGCTCGTCTTTTTGTGGACCCTGTATTCTGTTCATCTACATGTCTTTCCTTAGTATTACACTGTGTTGATTACTGTAGCTTTATAGTAAATCTTGGAAGTATGTAGTTGCAGATAGTATAAATTCTACACCTTTGTTTTTATTTTTCAGAATTTTTTTTTGGCTATTCTTGGTCTTTTGATTTTGCATGTAAGAGCAGCTTTTCAATTTTGGAAGAAAAGCTACTGGGATTTTCATTAGAATTGCACTGAATCTGTGGATCAATTTGGGGAGAATTTACATTTTAACAATGTTGGATCTTTCGATTCATGAACATGGTGTGTCTCTCTCTATATTTTAGGTCTTCTTTAATTTTTCTCAGCAATATTTTTTACTTCTCAGTATACAGGTCTTACACATGTTTCATTTTAAATATTTCATTTTTTATGTTATACATGGTATTTTTAAACAATCTTTAATTTCTAGTATTTTGTTAGTATTTAGAAATATGATTGATTTTTGTATATTGATCTTGAATTACTTTGTTAAACTCTCTTATTAGCTCTATTAGCTTTTTTCTGTATAGTCTTAGGATTTTCATAATATCTATAAATCAAGCTGTGTGCCTATTATTTCATTTTCTTGCCTTATTTCACTTGGCTTATTTCACTCATTTGCCTTATTTTACTGGTATAGTAATGAATAGAAGTGGCAAAAGTGTACATCCTCACCTTGTTCCTGATGAATAGGAAAGCATTCATCTTTCACCATTAAGTGTGATGTTAACAGTAGGGTTTTCATGGATGTCCTTTATCAAGTTGAGGAAGTTTCCTGATATTTAGTGATTTTTTTTTAAATAAAAAATTTGTGTTGATTTTTTTCAAATGTTATTTCCAAACCTTTTGCAGTGATTGTGTGGCTTTTTATTTTCAGTCTGTTAAGATGGTAAATTGCATTGATTATGTTTGAGTATTAAGCCAACCTCTCATTCCTGGAATAAATCTCACTTGGTAATTTTTATATATTACTGTTTTTGATTTCTTAAATTGTGACAAGGATTTGTGCATCTCTGTTTATGAGGCTTATCAGTTTTCTTGTAGTGTCTTTGGTTTTATTATTAGGGTAATGCTGGCCTCATGAAATGAGGTGAGAAGTGTTCCTTCTATTTTCTAGAAGAGTTTGTTTATGTTAATTTATATTCTTTCTTTCTTTCCTTTTCCTTCTTTTCTTTTCTTTTTTTGAGACAAGATCTCTCAAAAGTCCAAGGCTGGTCTTGAACTCCTGGGATCTAGTGATCCTCCCACCTCAACCTCCCAAGAAGCTGGGACTACAGGTGTGCACCACTGTGCCTGGCTCCATGTTTTTATTACTTATAGACTTATTATAGATTATTATTTCTTCCTTAAATGGCTGGTAGAGTCACTGTTGAAGCCATCTGGCCCTAGAGCTTTCTTTGTGGGGATATTTTATTTTACTTTATTATTTGTTTTTTCAGCTTTATTGAGGTATAATTGACAAAAATGGTATGTTCAAGGTATATAAGGTGACATTTTGATATACATATACATTGTAAAATGATTATTTGTGGAGACATTTTATAATTTCAATTTCTTTGAAAGATATAGGACTACTTATCTTTTTCTTCTTAGGTGAGGTTTCTTAGTTCATGTCTTTTGAGGAATTTGTCCACTTCATCTAAGTTGTCAAATTTGTTGACATAAAATTGTTTATAATATTCCCTTATCCTCTTAGTGTCTGTAAGATCTGTTTTTCTGGTATAGCACTTGTATCTTCATTTCATGATTAGCCTGGGTAGATGTTAATAAATTTTATTAATCTTTTTAAATAATAAGTTTTTGGTTTCAATGATTTTTATTATTCTTTTTGTTTGTTTTGTTTTCTGTTTCAGTGATTTTTGCTGTTAATTATTTTCTTCTGTTCACTTTGTGTTTAATTTACCGTATTGTTTCTAGTTTCTTAGTGTGGAAACCTAAATCACTGATTTATAACTTTTCTTTTATTCTAACAAGTATTTTATGCTAAAATATCCTTTTAAGTATCATTTTAACTGTATCCCACAAACTTTAATTCCATGTGTTTTTGTTTTTATTTAGTTTAAAATACTTTGTAATAATTCCTGTATGATTTCTTCTTTGACACATGGGTTATGAGAAGTACGTAGTTTAATATCTAAATATGTGGCAATTTTGCTGTTATCTTTCATTTAATTATTTCTAGTTTAATTTTTCTTTCATCAGAGTACAGTTAGCTCTCCAGATCCACAAGTTCTGCATCATGGATTCAAGCAACCACAGATTGAAAATATTTAGGAAAAAAAAATTACAACAATAAAAATAATACAGATTTTAAAAACAATATACTATTGTTATTTATATAGCATTTACATTATATTAGGTATTATAAGTAATTTAGAGATTATTTGAAGTATATAGGAGGATGTGTGTAGGTTATATGCAAATACTGTGACATTTTATACAAGGAATTTTATATAAGGAATTTGAGCATCTATGGATTTTGGTATCTATGGGGGGCCCTGGAACCAATCCCCCACAAATACTGAGAGACAAGTGTACATATTTTGTATGATTTCAGTCCTCTTAAATTTAGTGGCCGGGCATGGTGGTTCACGGCTCTAATCCCAGCACTTTGGGAGGCCGAGGTGGGCATATCACCTGAGATCAGGAGTTTGAGACCAGCCTGGCTGACATGGTGAAACCCTGTTTCTACTAAAAATACAAAAAAGTAGGCAGGTATGGTGGTGCATGCCTGTAATCCCAGCTACTTGGGAGGCTGAGGCTGGAGAATCGCTTGAACCTGGGAGGCAGAGGTTGCAGTGAGCTGAGATCACGCCATTGCACTTCAGCTTGGGCAACAAAAGCGAAACTCCGTCTCAAAAAAAAAAAAAAAAAAAAAGAAAACTTATCTGAGATTTGTTTTACGGCCCAGAATATGGTCTGTCTTAGTGAATGTTCTAAGTGCATCAACGATCAAAAAGAATGTGCATTGCACTGTTCATGGGTGGAGTGTATTTATAAATGTCAATTAGTTGAAGTTGGATGATAGTATGTTGTTCATGTCTTCTATACCTTACTAATTTTGTATCTGCTTACTGTATTGATTACTGAGTGAGTAGTAGTAAAATTTTTGATTACCATTGTTGATTTATTTCTTCTTTTGGCTCTATAAGTTTTTGCTACATGAATTTTTAAGCTCTGTAGTTAGTACTTACACATTTAAGGTTGTTCGGTGTTAATGAGTTGATCCTTTTAACATCAAGAAATGTTACTCTTTGTCCCTAGTAATATTCGATGTTTTGAAATCTACCTTGCCTGATATAAATAACTTTAGCTTTCTCTTGATTAGTATTAGCATGGTAATCTTTTTCTCACCTTTTAATTTTTCTACCTTTTATTTACAGTGGGTTTTTTTTTAAAAGGCAGCATATAGTTGTGTCTCCCACATTCATCCAACCTGACTCTCTCTTTTCTAGTTGGAGTTCTTATATATACATATATTTTTAAGAGAAAAATTGACAGAAGACTGCAATTTCAGAGATAAAATAGATGGATCCCAATGCAGGGATGTTTTGCCTGCAGTGATAAAATGTTATCATATTATCAAATGTTTCACATTTGCTGTAGAAATTGAGTGGGATTAACTATCTTTAGCAAGCCCCTCTGGAAGCATCTCATCTTGCATTATAATCTATAGCGATATTGTTTGTAAAATAACATACAGTTTAAAATAGTATAAAACAATCTGCAGGCTTGGGAATGACCTCTTACTTAATCACATTGAATGAATGTGGTCTGAATAGTTGAAAAAATTGTGAATAGAGGAGGGAAGTGGTAAGAAGTCCTTTCAAAAACCTTAAAAATAGGGCTGGGCGCGGTGGCTCATGGCTGTAATCCCGGGACTTGGGAGGCCGAGGCGGTTGCATTGCTTGAGGCCAGGAATTTGAGATCAGCCTGGCCAATGTGGTGAAACCCGTCTTTACTAAAAATATGAAAATTAGCCACATGGTGGCATGTGCCAGTAATCCCAGCCACTTGGGAGACTAGCTTGAACCTGGGAGGTGGAGGTTGCAGTGAGCCGAGATTGTGCCGCTGTACTCCAGCCTGGGTGACAGAGTGAGACTCTGGCTCAAAACAAAACAAAACAAAACTTAAAATTAATTCCACATTACAAAAGTAATACATATGTGTTTATTGCTCACAAATTAAATACCTGTAAACTAAAATAAGCAAATAAATTCTCTTTAATTCTACCACTCTGAACAAAAACAACATTGGTATTTCTTTGGTTTATCTTTCCAGTATTTTTCTTAACAGCAATGTAATTTTTAAAATGAGGTCATATCAGAAGTACCACTTTATAACCTACTTTTCCACTTACTATCTCATAATTTTCTGTGATGGTCATATTCATACTGATCTGTATCAACCTTTTTAATGACTACATATTTCATTTTATAGGATATAATCCTAGTTTCTAATTTTTTTCCTGTTAATGCAGTGTACATTATTTCTTTAGGATATATTTGTAGAAATACAACTGCTAGATCAAAAGACATTCAAAATTCTAAGGCTGGTGGTATGTTATAAAAATGCCAGCCTTAAAGTTTGTACTGATAGATAGTATACTAACATTGGGTGTAACTTTTTTGGGAGAAATAGATTGGATTTGTATCATAACTTTAATTTCCAGTTCTTCATTTTTTTGAAAGGCTAATAAACTTATCTCTATATCTTTTGGTTAATCAAAGATAATTTTTATATTTATTACCAACAGTTTAAATGCAAAGTCAAATATGGAGATTTTTTACATAGCCTCTTTTTGTAAAGAATTGGAGTGGTGAGTATTTGTTGTGATTTTACAGTTAAACTATGTCAGCTTCTCAGTGTGTATTTTGTGACTTAGTATAGAGAGCTTTTTATTCTTTTTTAGGTCAGTCTATGGGTATTGACTGCCTTCCAAGGAGGCCAAAGTTAAAATATTTGAGCTCTAAGTAGGCAGAATAGTACCAGTGAATAAGTATAGCATGTGGTGAAAATTGGGAGGGGTAGATTTTTATTCTGAGTGAGAATAAATCTTCTGTTTATGTTAGTGGATCTAGCACAGATTAATTTATTTTCTAAATGGACCTGTCTTGATTCTGTTACTTCTCTGATATTGTACCCTTGGAAAATGTTTTAGTTTCTCCATTATTCTCCATTTCTCCCATAAAGAATGATGATGCTTTGAAATGTCTGTGAGCTTCCCTAGTGATTTAGAAATGAAACAGTTTATGTTTCCCCCTCCTTTGATATGAATTATAGCACTGGAATTTGTGACTTTTTTGGTAGTCATTTAAGATATTTTAAAGCCTGACTTTATTGATTTTGATTTTGATTATTACAGACATTTTATAGTCAACAAGTGTTTTCTAGCATTTCTTTAATGTTATACGCTTGCATTAAGATACATGAAACTGCCTTCCTGGAGCTTACACTCTAGTTCTTGTATGTACCCAAGCAGGCCGTGGTTGTATGGAAGCCGGTGCTGTAGTTTTACAGAAAAGGAAAGATCTGTGAAGGATAAAGCATTCATGATAGCATGTGAGCTGAACTTTGAAGGGACTATTAGTATTTTCACCTGAGAATTATGATTTCAGTCCTCTTAGAGGAGTCTTAAATTATTACCTGGAGGATTTATGCATTTAACTATAACAAAATTATATATACTACTGTAGCACCATGCAGGGGACCTCTCTGTTTTTAGGATTTCCTCTGTCAGAACCCATAGGTGGTTTTCTAATTTTTATTCTTTATTAAAAATCCCTTTAAAGCATTAGATTATGCCACGGTTGGCAATTCTGAGTTCCTGAAAATAACTGAGTCATTGCAGCTGATCTTATTCTGACTAGTGGAATGCTAGTGACTCAAAACTACAAAGTCTACTCCCCTCCCATTCCCTGTGACAGGGCTCCATATGTTATTATTGACTTCGTCAGTATATCTAGCTTATTGCATCTGAAAGCATACATAGTAAATTTAGATTTATGGCTTTAAGAAGAACATATATTCAGAAACATTTTTCATAGTATTTGTTTTAGAGTTTTGTGTGTATACATTAAGGGCCAAGGTTAAAGTCACCTGTCACTGAACTGAGAGGTACTACTCTGGGCCAGGCATGGTGGCTCACAATAATCCCAGCACTTTGGGAGGCTGAGGCAGGCAGATCACTTGAGGTCAGGAGTTCGAGACCAGCCTGGCCAACATGGTGAAACCCCGCCTGTACTAAAAATGCAAAAATTAGCCAGGCGTTGTGGTGTGTGCCTGTAGTCTCAACTACTTGAGAGGCTGAGGCAGGAGAATCACTTGAACCCAGGAGGCAGAGGTTACAGTGAGCTGAGATTGTGCCACTGCACTCCAGGGCCTGGGTGACAAAGTGAGATTCTGTCTCAAAAAAAGAAAAGAAATACTACTGTAAATTCTTATCATAACTAATCTTTCTCTCTGATTCTTTGGTTGAAAAGATTTGGCTTAATGATTGTTTAAAGTTGGTCAGTAATACTTGGTATTAAGCAAGTGAGTGTTTGATATGTTCAGATAACTTAAATGAAGCATTAGATGCTCATGGATACTCTCTACTTCCAGGAATCTAGCCCTTTACTATATGGAAAGATTAAACCCATATTTAGTTTTTGAAACATTCATGGGAGAGCTGTGCCTTTATTTTTTCATTTAGCCAAATTGAACAGTTTTTGGACTTTCTCTGATGTTTAAAAGGACACAAAGCAGGGAGAAAAAAGTCTTATTTAAAAAATCTGGCCCTGAGTTTCCAGTTCTGGGAAGGATGGATAAGTACATGCCTTCCTGTCTTCGACTGTATGCAACTATAAAACCTGGACAGAATGCCTGGAGCGACTATTTGATAACTCTGAAAAACAAATAGTGGCAGGCACATTGGGAAAGAAGACCAGAACTTGAAGTACCACTAAGCTGGCAATGAGATTACCATTTTTTCCCCTCTTATCATCCTGCCATTTGGCCCCAGAGGCAGAAGTCCATAGGCTAGAGGACTAAAAAGGAACCCCAAGAAACCTGGAAGTATTTGGGAGATCACAGAGAGCCCATGAATGCAACTCCATATAGTTATCCATGAACTCTTTGGCTCACCTCTGTGTTCTGCATGCGTGGATTTATTCTACTTAGCATATAAATGATCTTGAGAGCTGAACTAATAGATAACCACTCAGACTGGCCACTCTGTGGTGTACGCAGGGCACACATCTGAAAAGCAGTGCAAAGGCTTTGAAAACTAAAAATTGTTAACATTCCCCAGAAGACCCAGAATCTTGTAACGTAATATCCAAAATGTTCATGGTACAGTCCAAAATTATTCAGCATAGGAAAAACCAGGAAAATTTCAACTTGCATGGGAAGAGACAATGGATGCCAATGTGGGATAATGTAGATGTTGGAATTATCTGACAAACTTTAAAGCATGTAGTTTACAAATATTTCAACAAGCTGGCCCAAATACTTGTGAAACAAATGGAGAAACAAAGTTCTCAGGCAAGAAATAGATGATGTGAAGAGGAACCAAATACCATAACTAAAATGAGAAGCTCACTGCATGGCCTCAGTAGCAGAACAGAGGTGACAGAGGAAAGAATCAATGAAGTTGAAGATAGATCAGTAGAAATTATGCAGTCTGAATGACAGAGATAATAAAGATGGGAAAACAAATGAACAGAGTTTCAGGGACCTGTGGAATGAGAACAAAAAGTCTAATATGTCTTTAGAGTCCCAGCCGGAGAGGACAAAGGATGTAGTGCAAAACTGGAAAGTTTCCAAGTTGGCAGAAGACATAAACCTACAAATTCTAGAAGCCCAGTGAACCCAAGCAAGATAAACCCAAAGAAGCCTGCATTCAGACACATCATAATCAAACTTCTAAAAATTAAGGCAAAGAAAATACTTGAAAGCCCAGAGAAAAACAACACATTACATATAAGGAAACAATGATTCAGAAGACTGTGGATTTCACACCAGAAACCCTGGAGGCCTTAAGGAAGTGGCATAGCAGAGCATAGAAAGAAGAGAATTGTAAACTTAGAATTCTGTATCCAGCAAAAATAGCCTTTATAAATGAAGGTGAAACAAAGGCAGTTTTAGGTGAAGGAAAAGTCAGAGAATTCAACTAGCAGGGCTGTACTAAATAATAGCAAAATGAAGTTTTTCAGACAGAAGGGAAACGATATCAGAAGGAATAGTGGCACATCAAGAATGAAGAAGAGGAACAGAAATAGCAGATTTATCTGGGAATATAATACACTCTTGAGTTCTCCAGTATATATTTTATGGTTCAAAGCATATTTAAGATTACTGTAACTTAAAGGGGGGATGGTAAAGTAACCTATATGGTGGTAGGGTTTCTTCCGTGTAATATATTTTGCATTGTAAAAATGTTGATTCTAAGTAAGCTCTGAAAAGATAATTATTGTAATTCCTGGAACAATCACTTAAAAAGCTATACCAAGTAATATAGTAGAAAACACAATAGATACATTAAAATGGAATACTAAAATTATTTAACACAAAAGAAGGCAAGAAAGAGGAAATGAGAAACAGGAAATAAAACAATAACAAAATAGGTAAAAATCCAAATATAGCAATGATTATATTAAATAGAAATAGTCTAAACAAAACAACCCAAATAGATTATCCTATTAGACTCTAAAAAAACCCCAGCAAATTACTGTGCATAAGAAATTGACTTCAAAAATAATGATATTGGAAGATTATTAAAAGTAAAAGAATACAAAACATATATTATGCAAACACTAATCATAATTAACATTTAGTGAGTAAAGCTTAAAGTAGGCAAAGAAAGTGACCAGGAATACAGAGGAATGTTACATAGTGATTAAATGGTCAATTCGAGGGGGGCGGGGCCGAGATGGCCGATTGGAAGCTCCCATGGAAAAGATCCAAAACAGTGTATTAATCTTGCACCGGCAACCAAGATATCCAGGTTTGGTCATTAGGACTGACTAGGCAGCCGGCATGACCCACGGAGAGGAAGGAAGAGCAGTGTGGTGCGGCGGCCCACCTGAGAGCCACACAGGGCAGGGGAGCCCCCACCCTTAGCTGAGGGAGGTGGTTAGTGAGTGTGCTACCCAGCCTTGGGAACCGTGCTTTTTCCACGGAACTGTGCAACCCACAGATCAGAAGATCCCACTCGTGAGCCCATGCTACTGGGGCCTTGGGTCCCAACCATGGAGCCGTGCAGATTCTCACTGGGCTAGAATTGGCCTAAGCCAGCCAAATCCCCAGGGGAAGGGGCAGCCACCACCACTGCTGTGGCTGCCTGCTGTCTAAGCCACCTACGCTCCTTGTGGGAGGGGTGGCAGCCAACACTGCAGCTTCAGGGCTTCCTTGCAGGAACTCCGTCTCCAACTAGGGGCTAAGGGACAGAACTCTGATCTCCCTAGGCCTGAACCCCTAGGGGGAGGGATGGCCGTAGTCTCTGTGGACCAGCAGACTTAGTCTTTCCTCCTGCGAGCACTGACGAATCTGGGCAGCCCAGATGAGTGAGTTTCCCCCCAGCACAGCACACCCCCTCCACCAAGAGATAGCCAAAGTGCTTTGTTAAATGGGCCCTGCTTCCTGTGCCACCCAACTGGGTGAGACCCCACCCCCGCCCCCGCCAACAGGGGTTGTCAGACATCCTATACAGGAGCATCCCTACTGGCATCAGGTCAGTGCCCCTCGAGGTCAGAGGTCCCAGAGGAAGGAGCAGGCACCCATCTCCACTCTTCTCCAGTCTCCTCAAGTGACATTTCCAGATGCAGGAGTGAACCAGATGAATAGGGCTTAAAGTGAACCCCCAGCAAACCGCAGCAGCTCTGCAGAAGAGGGACCTGACTATTGAAAGAAAAACAGAAAGTAACAACAACAGTTTCAACAAAAAAGTCTCCACAAAAATCCTTATCCAAGGGTTAGCAGGCTCAAAGATCGAAACTAGACAAACTCATGAGGATGAGAAAGAATCAATGAAAAAAACGCTGAAAACCCAAAAGGCAGAGTGCCTCTTCTCTAAATGATCGCAACACCTCTCCAGCAAGGGCGCAGAACTGTACAGAGAATGAGATGGATGAATTGACAAAAACAGGCTTCAGAAGGTGGGTAACAACAAACTTCGCTGAGGTAAAGGAGCATGTTCTAACCCAAAACAAAGAAGCTAAGAACGTTGATAAAAGATTAGAGAGCTGCTAACTAGAATAACCAGTTTAAAGAGGAACGTAAACGACCTGATGAAGCTGAAAAATGCAACGTGAGAACTTCGTGAAGCATACACAAGTATCAATAGTTGAATCAGTCAAGCAGAAGAAAGAATATCAGAGATGGAAGACTCTCTTGCTGAAATAAGGCAGGCAGACAAGATTAAAGAAAAAATAATGAAAAGGAATGAACAAAACCTCTGAGAAATATGGGACTATGTAAAAAGACCGAACCTAAGACTGATTGGAATACCTGAAAGAGACAGGGAGAATGGAACCAAGTTGGAAAACACACTTCAGGATATTATCCAGGAGAACTTTCCTAACCTAGCAAGACAGGACAACATTCAAATTAGGAAATACAGAGAATTCCACTAAGATACTCTATGAGAAGATCAACTCTAAGGCACATAATCGGATTCACCAAGGTCAAAATGAAGGAAAAAATATTAAGGGCAGCCAGCGAGAAAGGCCATGTCACCTACAAAGGGAAGCCCACCAGACTAACAGCAGACCTCTCAGCAGAAACCCTACAAGCCAGAAGAGAGTGGGGGTCAATATTCAACATTTTTAAAGAAAACAATTTTCAACCCAGAATTTCATGTCTGGCCAAATTAAGCTTCATAAGCTAAGGAGAAATAAAATCCTTTTCAGATAAGCAAATGCTGAGGGAATTTGCCACCACCAGGACTGCCTTACAAGAGCTCCTGAAGGAAGCACTAAATATGGAAAGGAAAAACCAGTACCAGCCACTGCAAAGCACACAAAAATATAAAGACTAATGACATTATGAAGAAACGGCATCAATTACCATGCAAAATAACCAGCTAGCGTCATGATGACAGGATCAAATTCACACATAACAGTATTAACCTTAAATGTATATAGGCTAAATGCCCCAATTAAAAGATATAGACTGGCAAATTGGATAGAGTCAAGACCCATTGGTTTGCTGTATTCAAGAGACCCATCTCATGTGCAGAGACACACATAGGCTCAAAATAAAGGGATGGAGGAAAATGTATCCAGCAAATGGAAAGTGGAAAAAAGCAGGGGTTGCAATCCTAGTCTCTGACAGAACAGACTTTAAACCAACCAAGATCAAAAAAAAGACAAAGGGCATTACGTAATGGTAAAGGGATCAATTCAACAAGAAGAGCTAACTATCCTAAATATATATGCACCCAGTATGGGAGCACCCAGATTCATAAAACAAGTTCTTAGAGACCTACAAAGAGAGTTAGACTCCCACACAATAATAGTGGGAGAATTTAACACCCTACTGTCAATGTTAGATCAACGAGACAGACAATTAACAAGGATATTCAGGACTTGAACTGAGCTCTGGATCAAGTGGACCTAATAGATATCTACAGAGCTCTCCACCCCAAAACAACAGAGTGTACATTCTTATCAGTGCCACATAGCACTTACTCTAAAATTGACCACATAATTGGAAGTAAAACACACCTCAGCAAATGCAAAATAACTGAAACTGTAACAGTCTCTCAGACCATAGTGCAATCAAATTAGAAATCAGAATTAAGAAACTCACTCAAAACCACACAACTGGCCAGGTGCGATGGCTCATGCCTGTAATCCCAGTACTTTGTGAGGCCGAGGTGGGCGGATTGCCTGAGCTCAGGAGTTCAGCCTGGGCAAAACAGCGAAACCCCATCTCTACTAAAATACAAAAATTAGCCAGGTGTGGCAGTGTGCGCCTGTAGTCCCAGCTACTCGGGAGGCTGAGGTAGGAGAATTGCTTGAATCCGGGAGGCAGAGGTTGCAATGGGCTGAGATTGCACTACTGCACTCCAGCCTGGGTGGCAGAGTGAGATGCCATCTCAAAAACAAACAAACAGGCCAGGCATGGTGGCTCATGCCTGTAATCCCAGCATTTTGGGAGACCGAGGCAAGTGGATCATGAGGTCAGGAGATCGAGACCATCCTGGCTAACATGACGAAACCCCGTCTCTACTAAAAATACAAAAAAATTAGCCGGGCATGATGGCGGACGCCTGTGGTCCCAGCTACTCAGGAGGCTGAGGCGGGAGAATGGCATGAACCCAGGAGGCAGAGCTTGCAGTGAGCCGAGATCGCGCCACTGCACTCCAGCCTGGGCCACAGAGTGAGACTCTGTCTCCAAACAAACAAACAAACAAAAAGCCACACAACTACCTGGAAATTGAACAACCTGCTCCTGAATGACTTCTGGGTAAATAATGAAATTAAGGCAGAAATCAAGAAGTTATTTGAAACCAATGAGAACAAAGAAGGAATGTACCAGAATCTCTGGGACACAGCTAAAGAAAGCAGTGTTAAGAGGGAAATTTATAGCACTAAATGCCCATATCAGAAAGCTAGAAAGATCTCAAATCAACACCCTAACATCACAACTAAAAGAACTAGAGAAGCAAGAGCAAACAAATCCAAAAACTAGCAGGAGACAAGAAATAACTAAGATCAGAGCGGAACTGAAGGAGATAGAGACATGAAAAACCCTTCAAAAAATCATTGAATCCAGGAGCTGGTTTTTTGAAAAAATTAATAAAATAGACCACCAGCTAGACTAATAAAGAAGAAAAGAAGAATTAAATTGACACAGTAAAAAACAATAAAGGGGATATCACCACTGATCCCACAGAAATACAAACTACCTTCAGAGAATACTATTAACACCTCCAGCAAATAAACTAGAAAATCTAGAAGAAATGGACAAATACCTGGACACATACACCCTCCCAAGACTGAAGTACAGGAAGAAGTTGAATCCCTGAATAGAGCAGTAACCAGTTATGAAATTGAGTCAGTAATAGATACCCTACTAACTAAACAAAGTCCAAGACCAGAGAGATTCACAGCTGAATTCTACCAGAGGTACAAAGAGGAGCTGGTATCATTCCTTCAGAAACTATTCTAAACAATTGAAAAGGAGGGACTCCTCTCTAACTAATTTTATGAGGCTAGCATCATCCTGATACCAAAACCTGGCAGAGACACAACAAAAAAAAGAAAATTTCAGGCCAATATCCTTGATGAACATCAGTGTGAAAATCCTCAATAAAATACTGGCAAACCAAATCCAGCAGCACATCAAAAAGCTTATTTACCACGATCAAGTCAGCTTCATCCTGGGATGCAAGGCTGGTTCACCATATGCAAATCAATAAACATAATCTATCACATAAACAGAACCAATGATAAAACCATATGATTATCTCAATAGATGCAGAAAAAGCCTTTGATAAAATTCAACATCCCTTCATGTTAAAGACTCTCAATAAACTAGGTATTGATGGAACATATCTCAAAATAATAGGAGTTATTTATGACAAACCCACAGCCAGTATCGTACTGAATAGGCAAAAGCTGGAAGCATTCCCTTTGAAAACTGGCACAAGACAAGGATGCCATCTTTCACCACTCCTATTTAACATAGTATTGGAAGTTCTGGTCAGGGCAATCAATCAAGAGAAAGAAATAAAGGGTACTCAAATAAGAAGAGAGGAAGTCGAATTGTCTCTGTTTGCAGACGACATGATACTATATTTAGAAAACGCCATCATCTCAGCCCAAAAATGCCTTGAGCCGATAAGCAACTTAGGCAAAGTCTCAGGGTATAAAATCAATGTGCAAAAATCACAAGCGTTCCTATACAACAGCAATGGAAAAGCAGAGAGCCAAATAATGAATGAACTCCCATTCACAGTTGTTACAAAGAGAATAAAATACCTAGGAATACAGCTAACAAGGGACATAAAGGACCTCTTCAAGGAGAACTACAAACCACTTTTCAAGGAAATAAGAGAGGACACAAACAAATGGAAGAACATTCCATCCTCATGGATAGGAAGAATCAGTATCATGAAAATGGTCATACTGCCCAAAGTAATTTATAGATTCAGTGCTATTCCCATCAAACTATAATTAAAATTCTTCACAGATTTAGAAAAAACTGCTTTAAAATTCATATGGAACCAAAAGAGAGCCCACATAGTCAAGGCAATCCTAAGCAGAAAGAACAAAGCTGGAAGCATCATGTTACCTGATTTCAAACTATCCTACAAGGCTACAGTAACCAAAACAGCATGGTACTAGTACCAAAACAGACTTATAGACAATGGAACAGAATAGAGGCCTCAGAAATAACACACATCTGCAACCATATGATCTTCAACAAACCTGACAAAAACAAACAATGGGGAAAGGATTTTCTATTTAATAAATCATGTTGGGAAAACTGGCTAGCATCTACGGTAAACCAAAACTGGACCCCTTCCCTACACCTTATACAAAAATTAACTCAAGATGAATTAAAGACTTAAATGTAAAACCCCAAACCATAAAAACTCTAGAAGAAAACCCAGGCAATACCATTCAGGATATAGGCATGGGCAAGGACTTTATGACAAAAATGCTGAAAGCAATTGCAACAAAAGCCAAAATTGACAAATGGGATCTAATTAAACTAAAGAGCTTCTTTACAACAAAAGAAACTCATGAGTGAACAGGCAACCTACAAAATGGAAGAAAATATTTGCACTCTACCCATCTGACAAAGGTCTAATATCTAGAATCTACAAGGAACTTAAACAAATTTACAAGAAAAAAAAAACCCCTTCATAAAGTGGGCAAAGGATATGAACAGACAATTCAGTAAGGAAGACATTTATGCGGCCAACAAACATGAAAAAAGCTCAACATTGCTGATCATCAGAGAAATGCAGATCAAAACCACAATGAGATACCATCTCACACCAGTCAGAATGGCGATTATTAAAAAGTTGAGAAACAATAGATGCTGGCGAGGCTATGGAGAAATAGAAACGCTTTTACACTGTTGGTGGGAGTGTAAATTAGTTCAATTATTGTGGAAGACATTATGGTGATTCAAGGATCTAGAACCAGAAATACCATTTGACTCAGCAATCCCATTACTGGGTATATACCCAAAGGAATACAAATCATTCTACTAAAAAGACAGATGCACACATATGTTTATTGCAGCACTATTTACAATAGCAAAGACATGGAACCACCCCAAATGCCCATCAATGATAGACTGGAAAAAGAAAATGTGATACATATACACCATGGAATCCTATGCAGCCATGAAAAGGAATGAGATCATGTCCTTTGTCAGGACATTGATGAAGCTGGAAGCCATCATTCTCAGCAAACTAACACAGAAACAGAAAACCAAACACCACATGTTCTCACTCATAAGTGGGAGTTGAACAATGAGAACACATGGACACAGGCAGGGGAACAACATACAGTGGGGCCTTTTGGTGGGGAGCGAGGGAAGGGAGAGCATCAGGACAAATAGGTAATACATGTGGGGCTTAAAACAAGTGACGGGTTAATAGGTGCAGCAAACCACCATGGCACATGTATACCTATTTAACAAACCTGCACGTTCTGCACATGTGTCCTGGAACTTAAAGGAGAAAAAATAAATAAATAAGATCAGTTCAGCAGGAAAACATAGGAATCCCAAATGTGTGTATACCTAACAACTGAGCTTCAAAATACTTGAAACAAAAACTTACAGAAATAAAAGGAAAAATAGACAAATCTAAAAATTATATTTGGAGACTTTTTACTCTTTTTTGTGATAAATAGAACTAATAGAACATCATCAAGAATATAGAAGTTCACCATCAAACGGACTAGATATGATTGATATTTATCGAACATTCTATCCAACAGCAGAATACACTTTTTTCAACTGCCTATAGAACATTCACCAAGATAGACCATATTTTGAGTCATAATACAAACATGAACAAATTTTAAAGGATTGCAATAATTAAAAGTATGTTCTCTCACTATACTGGAATTCAACTAGAAATTAATAGGAGAAAAATAACAAGAAAGTCTTCAAACTCTTAGATTAAAATTAAGCAGCAGCCTTATAAATAATCAATGAGTCAAAGAGGAAGTCTCAAGGGAAATCTAAAAATATTTTGAACTGAACGAAAATGAAAATATGGTTTATCAAAATTTGTGGGATATAGCTTAAAGCAGTGCTTAGAGAGAACTTTGTGGCATTAAAAGCTTATTTAGAAAGAAAAGTATTCAATCAATAATTTAAGCCTTCACTTATGAAATGAGAAAAATATTAAGAGCATAATAAATGGAAGATAAGTACAAGGAAAGAAATAGTGATGAAAGTAGAAATTAGTGTTATTGAAGATAGAAGAACAATAGAGAAAATCAATGGAACCAAAAGCTAGCTCTTTGAAAAGATCAATAAAATGATAAACCTTTAGCAAGAGAGTCAAAGAGAACAAAAGAAAACATAAGTTCCCAGTATCAGTGAAACAGAGGATATCATTACCCTGCAGGCCCTGCAGACATTAAAAGCTTTGTAATGGAATCTGACAACAGTTCTCTCTATATACATTTAACAGCTTGGATCAAATGGACAATTCTTCCAAAACCACAAACTGTCAAAACTCAACCAAGATGCAATAGATAATCTAAATAGGTTATCTATAACTATAAAGAATGGAATTCATGGTTTAAAGCCTTAAAAAGAAGTTCCCCTTGGCCGGGCACGGTGCTCATGCCTGTAATCCCAGCACTTTGGGAGGCTGAGGTGGGCAGGACACTTGAGACCAGGAGTTCAAGACCAGGCTGGCCAACATATTGTATTTTTAGTGAAACTCCATCTCTACTAAAAATAAAAAAAATTAACTTGGGCATGCTGGTGCATGCCTGTAATCTCTGCTACTCGGGAGGCTGAGGAAGGAGAATTACTTGAACCCAGGAGGTGGAGGTTGCAGTGAGCCGAGATCACACCATTGCACTCCAGCTGGGGCAACAGAGCGAGACTCTGTCTCAAAAAAAAAAAAAAAAAAAAAAGGAAGGAAGAAATCTCTAGACCTCCAGACTCACGTGGTTTCTCTGCCAAATGTTATCAAGCATTTAGATAAGAAATGACACTGATGAAATAAAATCTGCTTTAAACAATAGGAAAAACAGTCTAAAGAAGAAACTCACATGGTTATGTCAGTTGATACAGAAAACAGAATTTGACATTATGCAGCATCCATTTATGACAAGAACTCTCATGAGGAACACACTAGAAGTAGAAGAAAACTTTTTCAACCTTATGAAGGACATCTACCAACAAATCTTATAGCTATGTCAAACAGTGTTGGAAGATTGCATTCTTTCAGTTCATTTGGGGTGCTATAACAAAAATATCACAAACTTGTTGGCTTATAAAGAACAAACATTTATTCTTAACAGTTCTGGAGGCTGGAAACTTCAAGGCCAAGGTGCCAACAGATTTGGTGTCTGCCGAGCACTGTCATCCTCATAGATGGTACCTTGTTAGCTCTATCTTCATACAGTGAAAGGGGCTAGCTAGCCAGCCCTCTATGGTCTCTTTTATAAGGGCACTAATCTCAACCATGAGGGCTTTGCCCTCATGACCTTATCACTTCTCAAAAGGCTGCAATACCTAACACCATCACTTTGGGGTTGATTTCAGCATATACGTTTTGGGGGATTCAAACATTCAGACCATTGGACATGGCAAGGATGTCCACTCTCACTACTGCTATTCAACATCATGCTAGAAGTCCTAGCCAGTGTAATAAGGAAAGAATGGGGGCGGGGGGTGTGTGGGTGGCAGGGGGAAGCAAACAAATTGGAAAGGAAGAAAAAAAACCATCTCTATTCTCAGAAAAAATTCTTTCTATTAAAAATTGCAGTGTCTACATTGAAAATTAAAAAACTATTAGTTAAATTTGTATGATTTAAGGTCAATACACAAAAATGTACTATATCTATATATTAACGATATGCAATTGGAAACTGGAATAAAAAATACAATTTATAATATTTCCAAACAAATAAAATACTTAGGTATAACTTTAACAAAACATATATAAGATTTATATGCTGAAAACTACAAAAGTCTGGTAGAAGAAATCCAAGACCTCGTAACTGTAGAGACATATTGTGTTCATGGATTAAGGCCCTTAACGTATTATAGCAAATATTTCAGTTCTTCTCAAGTTGACTTATAGATTTAACACAATTTCAGCTAAAATTCCAGTAGGATTCTTTTTTTGTAGATATAGACAAGCCAATTATAATGTTTATATGGGAAGGTAAAGGATCTAGAATACCTGAAGCAATTTTGAAAAATATGAATAAAGTTGAAGGAATCACCTGATTTTAAGGCTTACTATAGAGGTATAGTAATCCAGGGTATGTGGTACTGACAGAGGTGTAGACGCAGTCCAATAGAACAGAATAAAGCCCAGAAATATATCCACACAAATGTGGTTAATTGACTTTTGATGGAAATGTAAAAGAGATTCCATATAGAAAGGATTTTGTTAGTTGTTTTTAGCAAAGGGTAGTGGAACACTTGGACATTCATACCTTAAAAAAAAGAACCTTGATCTGAATCTCACAGCTTTTTAAAACAATTAACTCAAAATGAATCACAGATCTCAATGTAAAATGTGAGTCAATAAAGCTTTCAGAAGAAAGCAGAGGAGAAATTCTTCATAACCTGAGGTTAGGCAGAGAGTTCTTAGACATGACACCAAAAACATAATCCATAAAGGAAAAAGTTGTTAAAGTAGACTTATCTATGAGTGTGTTAAGAGAATGAAAAAACAACTCAATAGTGAAATAAAAATTTAATTTTAAAAATTGGCAAGAACTTCGAACAGACATTTATCCAAAGAGGATGGATGGCAAATAAGCACATGAAAAGATGTTTGACATCTTTAGCCACTAGAGAAATGCAAATTAAAACCGTAATGAAATACCATTATACTTGTTAGAATGGGTAAAATTAAATACTGATAATAGCAAGTGTTGGCAAGGATGCAGAGCAACTGGAACTCTCATAATTGCTGGTGTTAATGCAAAATGGGATGGCCATTCTGGAAAATGATTTGGCAGGTTTTTTCTTTCTTTTTTTTAAATAAACATATATTTACCACATAACCTAGCAATCTCACACCTGGGTATTTACTCCAGTGTTAGGAAAACTTATTGTCATACAGTAAGCTGTATGTGAATGTTCATTGCACCTCTATTTATAATCACTAAAAACTGGGAACAGTGCTCTGTAGTTCATCCATTATACAGTGGAATACTCCTTACCAATAAAAGGAACAAACTGTTGATACATGCAACCACTTAATTGAATCTCAGAGGCATTATGAGTAAAACAATCCAGTTTCAAAGAGTTAGACACTATATGATTCCATTTACATGACAGCATAAAAAACTCAAAACTATAGTGAGAGAAAACAGATTGTTGGTTGTCAGGGGTTAAGGATGAGGAGAGGATGCAACTATAAGGAATAGCATGAAGAACATTTTTGGGGTGATGGGACTGTTCTGTATCTTGATTGTGTTTGAATTCATAGACTTATTTGTGTAGTTACATGTGTTTGAATTCATAGACTTATATACCAAAAAAAGGTCAAGTTTATTCTATGATAATTAAAAATTTTTTGAAGCTGACTCTGGTTTCAGTGCCTTGGCTCAGAAACAAGATAGAAAATCTCTTATGGAAATAGTCCAGATACCCCAAAATGTTTAGACCAAAGTAATTAATTAAGAAATAAATTGGAATATGGCTTTGGAAAAGGACCTTTCAGATACAGGAACAAACAAAATGAGGGAAAGAGACTTAGTCATGTTGTGGGAGGCAGGGAGACTCTAGGATGAAAATTAGATACCAGGCCATCTTCTGTGTTGGGAACTGCAGAGGAACTTGGATGTACAATATTTTGTTTTGAGCGGTTTGCCGAGATACAGTGTATCTCCATCACCCAGACTTTCAATAAAAGTCTGCTGCACCCCACAGACTGGGTTGATAGTATTTTGGAGAAAAAGCAGTCAGGAGAGCAGAGTATAGCAGCAGGAGGAAAGATGTGCAGGAGGGTAAGAGTTCGGTGGGAACAGGAAATCAAGAGTTAGGGTGAATGTGAGGACTTAGAATGTGCAGAATGGTAGGGTGAAGAACTGGGTTTCCTACAATATGTCTCTGTCTTGTTTTCTACTATTAAAGAAAAGTATAATTGTAGAGTTGACAATTTGCGGAAAAGCAGAAAGGAGACATCTAAGTGGTGAAAGTTTAACCCTCTTTGTACTATCAACTGCTTACATTTATTTTGTGATAGTTTTATTAAAAACTTAGTGCCAACTGTTAATCACTAATTTTGTATATACTGTATATAGTAGTCCCTCCTTATCTGCAGGGGATGTGTTCCAAGACCCCCACTAGATACCTGAAACCTTGGATAGTACCAAATTCTATATATACTATGCTTTTTCAATCTGATAACAGGGGCAGCTACTAAGGGGCTAACAGGCAGGGAGCATATACAGCATGGATATGCTGGACAAAGGGATGGTTCATGTCCCAGGTAGAGCGGGACAGTGAGAGATTTCATCACATGACTCAGAATGGTATGCAATTTAAAACTTATGAGTTGCTTATTTCTGGAAATTTCCACTTAATATTTTTGCACTGCACTGATCGCAGGTAACTGAAACTCTGGAAAGCAAAACCTCAGATAAGGGGGAACTACTGTCCTTTCTACCCAGATGCTGATATTATTTACTGTAAGCCATTGGATGTGTTTCTCGTGTGAACAGACGATGAGGAAAAAGTTAGTTTTCCATTATCCATAAATAGGGTATTCACTTTGTAGGTTACTTTTACCAATTTAAAATCTATCTAATTCTTCTCCAGAGGAAAGACAATATAGCTTAGTTAAGTATAATGGGCTTTGAAGTCAGACAGACCTGGTGTCCATCCCAGTTCCACCAATCATTAGTTGTGAGCCTTGGCCAAATTACATCCTCTTTCTGAGCTGAGGACAACAACCCTGTGCCCTTGCCTTACAGGGTTGTTGCAAGGCTTAAGAATCTGCATCATCCATCTACCCCCTAGACTCATATCATCCTTCTCAGTTACCATCTTTTGGTGGTTAAATGACAAATTTACCATTAACTCAAAAAACATTAAAAAATTATGATGGGCTCAAGAGCTAAGTAGAACTAACCCTAATAATGCAAGTCCAGCTGAACGGCAGACTTGCTGTAAGCAGCACTCCACATTGGCCACTGTGCTGTCCTAACTACCATGACTTGTTCAGAACTGGAAACATTACTAAAGAGTTTTAAAAACTTTAAAGTGTTGCTGTGGAAGGTTCAAAGAGAAAGTATACTTTTATTCTCGAAAAATACCAAATGCTTCTTCAGTGTGTTTAGTTATTTTAATGTGTGGGTTGAGGTTCCATCATCATCTGCAAAATATAGTGTATAGTCTTGACGGAATGGATCAAAAGAGACTGCATGTGAAAATGAATCAGAGGGCACTTCAGCCTGAATGTTCCCAAGTGGGGCAGGGGTGTATTCAGAGAGGGGAGTGAATGAGGCATTCATCAGCACACTGGGCTGACCTAGGGGGTAGATTCTAGAAGAGGGATCATAGTTCCACAGTGACAGATCTCCAGCCTGAATTAGACGAGCGCAGTTTTCTGGCTAGAAGAAATAGAATAAGTTAGACTTGTGTAACCAGTGGTTTGGTTCTCCATCAACATTTGCATTGCTGAACAGTATTTCTGCCTTTGTGGCTGCAGGTTTTATTGTTGTGGTGAGGGTAGCTGGATTTCCTGTTGTTCCTATTGTCCATCTTCTTTAACCTCTACTCAACTACTTACTTCCCAACTCAGCCTTGCACCAGGCACAAAGAATAGTCCTTTACCTTGCAAAAATGTAAGGAATGCTATCAAAGGAGCTCAGGTGCGGCTGGTGAGTGATGGGACAGGAATTGGTTTGCCTAGAGATTGACGTGACTGGGAGTCAATGGTCATTGGAATCCAGGTGTTCCCTTTTGAGGCTACTAAGCTGTAGTAAAGACAAGATCAAGAGAGGGATGCTATTGAGAGACTGAGGGAAAGAAAACGGCAGACAGATCAGAGCGACAGTATTCTGTCAGGATAGTGGGGAAAATTATTAGTGTTGTGTTAGGCCATATACTAACATTCAGACAGGTAAGGCTGCTAGTCAGTAGCAGGAAGGTTAGGTACCAAGAGACAGGCCTCAGTCGTGAATAAGGCATCAGGCTAGGCCCCAGGTCTAGAGAACAGAAAAGCCGTCCAAGTCCTGGAATTGGTACAAGGTGGAAATTTGGTTAGAGTGGAGTCTGAGCCACCTGGGCTCCTTTGATAGCGTTCCTTACATTTTTGCAAGGTAAAGATAGGACTATTCTTTGTGCCTGGTGCAAGGCTGAGTTGGGAAGTAAGTAGTGAGCAGAGGTTAAAGAAGATGGACAATGGGAACAATAGGAATTACAGAATCTTTCTGTTTATTATGGTAATTTCTCTGGCATGAGCATATTTTCAGTTAAAAAAAGTGTTATTGTTTTGAAGGAATATATTTATGCAAACTGTGTTCAGGTTAAATAACAGTTCCCTGCCTCACCTGTCCTTATCTTGAATCTCACTCCCTATCATTTCAACTCTTTAGCTTTTTTTTTTTTTTTGCTGCTTACCTTTATGTCTCTAAATAACATGCTTATAATATTATTTCTTGATTTTTTTCAATATTGGACATAATCTGGAAACTTCACACTGGCAAAGATTAGAGTTCTGTTATATTCTCTACCTACCCTCTCCTCTTCCTCACCACCAGACACTCATCCTTCCCCAAAGAGTTAATCTTTTAAATAAAATTTGACAATTATTAACTATGGAAAGTATTTTTGTTTGGTTATTATGATTGCATGTACCATGATTGCTTTTCTTTCTCATAAATCATTTAGTTTTTCCTGAAGTTACTGACTTTAATTTTTTTTTCCACAGTAACCTCTGTATCTCTGGTAGAATTATAAAACTCATAATGCTCTAAAACTCTTTAAGTAGTGTTTTCTTTTTCACCTTGGAGACATCCCTCCACCTTTGCTTTGTAGGCATGCTACATAGCTGTCTGGAAAGGTTCTTCACCTCCTTCCTGTCTGTGTAAGATTCCTGGTTCCTAAATCCTGAGTTCTTTGTTTTGGAGGCATATCTTCCAGTAGCTTTCTGAGAAAAGCAGTATGGGAGGTAAAATATTTTGAGAGCTTTACATGCTCCAGAACTGCCCTTTTGCTCCCCTTGCCTCACATTTCATTCACAGCTGGTGTATGGAATTCTTGATTGGATGTTACTTTCCTTCAGAATTGTGAGGGCATCCCTCCATTGTCTTACAGTTTTCGGTGTTGCTTCTGAGAAGTATGATGCCATTCTGATCCCTGTTCTATTGTATATAAACATGTTCTTTTCTAGAAACTTTTAGACTCTTTCTTGTTATTCTGAAATTTCAAGATGAAGGGTTCTACAGTAGGTATTTTGTTGGTCATTATTCTGGGCACTTAATAGATCCTTTCAGTGTGAAATTTTCTTGTGATTTTTTTTTGAAATATTTATATCTTGTGTCTTCTCCATTCTCTTTCTGGATGTTGGACCTCTTGGAACAATCCTATAATTTCTTATCTTTTTTCCCCTTCTGATTTTCTCTTTGCTTTTTTCTTCTATTTCCTAGAAAATCTCTTCATTTCTAACTTTCAATCCTGCTTTTGAAGGTTTTTTTTTTTTAAATTTATGCTACCACATTTTTGGTTTCCAAGATATTTCTGTTGGTTTGTTTTTTGAATAATACTTTCCTATAGCACTCTCTTTCTAGTTCATGAGTGGAAATATCTTCTTTGATTTCTCAAAAGACTTTTAAGAAACTTTGCTCCCTGCATGATCTGTTTTTTCAGAGTTCATTTCCTTCTGTTTATGTTGCTCTTTGCCTTTCATGTTTAAGTTTTCCTCACACATAGGGTGATCCTTGTCTGGCCTTTTACATTGAAGGGTGAGGTGCTAACGTGAGTGGAGCTGTGTGTGTCCGCTCACATGGCGTGTGTGATTCTTGTTGACTGATGGGAAGCTAGACATTTCATTGAGGGATGCACAAATGTCACTATCTGTGGGTCTTGTCTTTTGGGCCAGTTTTCCCAGAGAGAGATCCTTCTGTTTCCTGGCTGGATACAGACAAGACTGTGATCCAGAACTGAGGGGAGAAAGTTGTTTAGCATTCTGGGTGTGTTTGTATGTGGGGGGAGAGGGTCTCATTGTTCCAGGCAGAGTTTCACTCACTCCCGCTACTTTTAGAAATATGTTTCATTTCCACTCAACATTTAGGCCTCTTGGATGGAACATCTCCAAATAGTACAGGCTTCTCCCTGGAGAGAGAAGCACCAGGCACATGGCTGTATAGGTTCAGGGAACATCTGGGATGTGTGTGCTACTATAGTTATAGTATATACTATAGTATATCTGGGATGTGTGTTACCCCGGGTCTCCGAATGTAAATTGATAGAGTTTAGAAATATGTGAAATTTATAATCTCTATAAATATTCAGATTAAGTGGTTCTTGTTAAAAAATAAAACTGCCCAGGAAGATAATCCTGTGTAATGGTAGCAGTATTCCTGTTTCTGGGTTGTACATTTTCCTCCTCCAATTTGTCTCTTTCAGAACAAATTGGAGCTCTGGCAGATCAGCATATCATTCATGTGGCATGTGGCGAGTCCCACAGTCTGGCCCTCAGTGACCGAGGCCAGCTGTTTTCTTGGGGTGCAGGGAGTGATGGTCAGCTAGGACTCATGACTACTGAGGATTCTGTGGCAGTGCCCAGGTAAGAAGGTTTTCAAATGTCAGTCGTTTTAAATGCTATTTCCTGCTGTTGATTTGTTAGACTCCTTGTTTTTCTTCTGTTTTCTTCATTTAATTGCTATTTCCTTTGCACCACTCCTGTGCCTTATACTATTAAAACACTTGTCACAAAAGTTGCAATTATTTATAGAAGTGTCTGTCTCTGTTTCAAAAATGTGAGTCGGTTGGGAACTGTACTTTATTTATTCTAGTAGCCTGTTTGCTTGCTGAGTGCCTGGCAGTCGATAAATGTTTGAATAAAAAAGACATCTTTCACATCGTAGGCTTATTAACCTTCAACTGAAAATTGCAAGTCTGAATTACTCAATTAAGTACTTTAAAATAGAATCACAAAGCTGACCTGTTACTCTGATAGGCCAAATCACTTTAAGCATTACAAACAGCTAAAATACCAGATATACATAGATTCTTTAATGCAAAAATGTTAATACAGTAGGTTTTGAGTCTCTTAAAGATTCACTTAAATCTAAACCTTAGATGATTTAGCTAAGTATCTAATAGTTGCCACTAAGAGAACATCCCAAATATTGAAGTTACTTTCAAATGGACTTTTTAGTGGTGGTGTCTCAGTTTGTTGAAGGTTCTTAATGATCAAAGAGCTGCCATTTTATTTCCTTTATTCAATTCTTACTCCTTTGTGCTACAGGTGTTCCACATACCACTACTATAGTACACATTCTTTGTAATTGTTTATTTAATATCTGTTTTTACTACAAAGATGTGAGCTATTAATGGCAGGATAATTGGATGATTTATTTTAGCATCACCATTGCTAGGAGTGCCTATCACATACATTGCTGAGTACAAATTTAATAAATGGCCTCTCCTCCTCTGCCTAATTATCGTCCCCTTTAAAGAACAGCATATTCTTCTTCCTCTTCTTTTTTGCCCTTGTTAGATTTTTGTCTCTTTAATCAAAAGTTGTGTTAAATAAGAGGACCATGGAGGTAAGAGTGATTTGATTCAGTTCTTGATTTAGGACAGGTAATGTCTTAGATTCATTTCTTCCAAAAATTAATTTAATTTTGTGGGGAGAGGAAGAGTGGCAGTAAGAAAAAAGAAGTGCTAGATGTTATGTTGTGTGTAATACTAGGGAAAATGTTTATAACATTAATGGCAAAAATATTTCATTTGTTGATGACCAAAACACAATTAAGGTTTTTAACGGCATTTCATTTTTAAAAATGAAGTAATCTGTTCTACAGTAATAGCTTAATATTCATTATTCATGTTCAAATTATGGATGACTTCCAAGACTTTGATTTGTATATAGTTTTCTATTATAAGTTAATTGAAATAAATTCACTAATTTATACCTTTGTATTGTGGAAAGTAACATAGCTTTGATGTCAAACAAGCCTTGGATTCCAATACTGGCTCTTTTACTTGTAAGGTGAATGACCTTGGGCAGGTTAACTTTTCTAAGCCTCAGTTTCCTAACTTAAAAATTACTTACTATGTACCTTACAGGGTTATGGGGAGGATAGAAGGAGACAAGTAGGTAAAATACAGTATGTGCTTGCACTGTATGGACTCCCTCTTCCCCACCTCAAGGGTACAATTTCTCTATTATCTGTCTTTGTTCTTCTGACCTGCTTCTTTTCTACAACTGATTGTGACAAGAGTAATGGTGATGGGGAATTGTTGAAGCAATTCTCTGCCTCAGCCTCCCGAGTAGCTGGGATTACAGGCATGTGCCACAACGCCCGGCTGATTTTTTTTGTATTTTTAGTAGAGATGGGGTTTCATCATATTGGCCAGGCTGGTCTCGAACTCCTGACCTCAGGTGATAAGCCCACCTTGGCCTCCCAAAGTGCTGAGATTACAGGCGTGAACCACTGTGCCTGGCCTTAAAAAGACTTTTAGGCAAGATGGTGTTATTTATTACTGACATTTTATTTAATTGGGAATATTTCTGATAATTGTGTTTGTGTGTGAATATCTATCTGAAAAAGAAAGCCTTTTCTGTTTTAGGTTAATACAAAAGCTGAACCAGCAAACAATATTACAAGTTTCCTGTGGCAACTGGCATTGCTTGGCTCTTGCGGCTGGTAAAGTAACATTAAACATATGCTAATGCTATGTTAATTTTGAAAACATTTCTCTTTGTCTTTTTGTGTGATATTATCTAACTGAAAACTTTGAATTAACTGGTTAGGGTCTATGCATTGCTGTTGGACAGTGACAATTCTCATATGGGCTTTGCATAGCTCATCCTTTTCTCAGGGTGTGGGTGATGAAGTAGGTGGTCATCATTGCTGCTCCAACTTTCACAGGGGAAGATAAGCAGGGGGCAGGACCATACCTAGGTGTTCTGAGCATGGAGGAGATTGATTTTTCTTAGCGACAGCCAACTCTCAAGCTACATTCCACTATCAAGCTCCCAAATGAATGAAAAAGAAGGAGTTGGAGAAACCTAAATAAATCTGCACTTCTGTGTCCTGCTTGATTATCTGCAGAGCAGACCAAGTGGTCATTGCTGGACCTCCCGAAGTCTTGGGTCTCATAGTCTTAGTGTGGTCAGAACTAGTGTGATCTTGCTTAAGCCTGGTAATTGGCCTGTCCGAAATTGAATTTACTTATACATTTAATATTTTCTGTGTATAAATTTTAATAGCCTTTGAAGGGCAGTAAGACTCAGCTTACCTCTCTGTTATATCACTTGGGAGTTTTGGTTTTGGCAGTCTGATAGCATGAAGTATCTCTGTTCCTTTGCTCTTGGGTGGGTTTGGTGTTGGGGGGCAACTGGCAAATGACCCTAATAACTAGATTATTTTTGTGTGTGGAGCTTGTATCATTTTATGGTAATACCAGTTATCCTGTTATTTCAGATGGCCAGTTCTTCACCTGGGGAAAGAACAGCCATGGGCAGCTTGGCTTAGGGAAGGAGTTCCCCTCCCAAGCCAGCCCACAGAGGGTGAGGTCCCTGGAGGGGATCCCACTGGCTCAGGTGGCTGCCGGAGGGGCTCACAGCTTTGCCCTGTCTCTCTCAGGAGCTGTTTTTGGCTGGGGGATGAATAATGCCGGGCAGCTAGGGCTCAGTGATGAAAAAGGTAGGTAAACCCTTCATATGTATGTATTTAGTTTAAAAGCACATTCATTTAACACATGCTTCTTGAGGATCTACTATGTGCTAGCCCCATGTGAGATACTAAGGGAGAAGCAGTGAACACAATAGAGAACATCCTCGTCTTAGTGGAGACTGTATTCTAGTGAGTAGAGGTGCAACAAAACCAGTAAATACACAGGATTTGAGAGTGCAGCTTCCTGCTTTACATAAGGTGGTGGGGAAGGGCCCCTCTGATAAGAAAATGTTTGAGCAGAACCTGTAGGAAATCAGGTGGGAGATGGGACATGTAAATGTCTGGGTGAAAAATGTTCCTGTCAGAGAGAACTGGGTGTGCAAAGGTGCTCATGTGGGAAGAGATGTAGTTGGAGAGAAGGGGAAGAGTAGCACAGCTGCAGGTCAGAGAAGTCGTGTAGACCCAGTTATGCAGGGCCCTGAGGGGCAGGGTGAGGATATAACTGGTTTTCTCAGTGAGAGGGGAAGACCCTGAGGGTTTGGAGGAGAAGCGTGATCCACTTTGGCTTTGGCTGTAGTGGGTCAAGGGGGAAGCTGGAAGACCAGCTTGGAGGTTGTGGGAGTAAAGTCAGATTTTAAACATATTTTGAAGATGAGGCCAGTTGGTTTTGTTCACTGTTGGATGTGTGGTTTGAAATAAAGGAACAGCTGGAAGGGCAAAATGACTGTTTCTGAAATGGGGAAAACCGTGTGTAGTAAAGTGAGCTGGAGAGTGGGCAGGGTTGGAGAGTGTAGGGAAACCATGAGGTAGGTTTTAGGTAAATTAAAACTGAGAAGTCTGTTGGATATCCAAGTACAGATGCAGGCAGGAAACTGAACATGCGTCAGGAATCCAGGAATCCAAAATTCATGCCAAGATAGTTGTGTATATTTCATCTCAAAGGCAAATGGTAGTGATATTCTGATATTTAATTTATTCTAGATCGAGAATCTCCATGCCATGTAAAACTCTTACGCACGCAAAAAGTTGTCTATATTAGTTGTGGAGAAGAACACACAGCAGTTCTCACAAAGGTAAGGAGCTCAGAGTATTTTACTTTGGTGCTGGGGATATGATGGGTGATTAGAATTGCTTGATTATGTTAGTGTAGTGATGGTGTGTGATTACAGTATTGTGGCTTGAACTTGAATGCTCTCTTTTATGTGGGTTTGTTGTTTTCCAAAGGAATAGAAAAAGACTACTTTTTTGTATGTCTCTGTTATCCTCTTTGGTAATCTTGTAGATTTTTCATATATATATATATATATATATATATATATATATATATACACACACACACATAATGTAGATTATATATATATACACACATATAATGTAGATTATATAAAAATGTAGATTATATATATAAATATAATGTATATATTTATATATATATAAATTCCTTGGTTCTTTATGGAACAAAGACAGCACTTTGTTATTTTTATTTGTTATTTTATGTATATATAATATATATAAAATGATGTCCTATGTTCCTTTAAAACAAGTCATTTAAATATGTAAAAAAGAAACAGCAATTTAATTAATGTTTTAAAATAATCATGTTTCTTTTGCTTCTAAATACATTCTAGAGAGAATGAAAATGTATTTTTATATTGAACAAATATTATTCTACGTTCACTTTGATAAAATGCCTTAACATTTATTTAAATACAGCTGTTAAAAAAACAGCTTACTTACCAAGGAATTTGTAGAGCACCTAATTTCTTACATGTGAATGATCATGTAAAATCATCTCATTTAGCCTAGCTCCTAGTTTCTCCTTTTTTAAAATTTTGCTTCCTAACACATCATTGTACTTTCAAACGATTTTAAAAATTTACAGAAGGCACACATTCCTTTGAGCATTGCTATCTTTGTTCCATAAAGATGCAGTCTGAAATTCCCTTTTTATTATTTTTCTATTTAATGAACATCCTTACAAAGTGATTTTGGCCAAGTGTCAAGTGAATGTAGTGCTCTTGTGCACATTGTTGTGATAGGCATTTTGTATACAGGGTTTAGAGGTATACCCTTAAAGATACAGTGAAGTCCTATGGTGTTTGTTCCTTGTTAGAGTGGAGGTGTGTTTACCTTTGGCGCTGGTTCCTGTGGGCAACTTGGACACGACTCCATGAATGATGAGGTTAACCCTAGAAGAGTTCTAGAGCTGATGGGTAGTGAAGTAACTCAAATTGCTTGTGGCAGGTGAGTGTTCCTCAAAGCTTGCTTGTATTCACTAGGACCCAGAAATTGGTCTTATCTTTGTAGTGATGAAGAATGTGATTATACCTAGTCACCGTCATTTTAAGAGATCTTAACTGCATGCACGCCTATGGTGAAATGTGGAGAAAGACCTTGATAGAGTGTGGCAAGGAAGGGTTTTAGATAAGCAGAGCAACACGGAGACATTAGGCTTCTTTTGGGATAAAGAGTAGCAGGATGTGGGGAAGGGATAAAGAAAGGAAAAGTGAGAGAGTCCCAAAGAACTTCTTGGAAATTTTTGCCTGAGTCTACCCTGCTTCTCTCTGTTCATCTTAGAGGCCACATGCAGTAGATCATTCAGCTCTTTCCTGACTTGCCACCCTCCTCATGATCTAGAGTGTTAGAGGATAGTATTATGGAGAGCAGCCGCTGCAAGAAGAGTCACGTGTTAACATGGGAAAGGCTCTATAGGAGCACCCTGTGCTGTGCACATGTGGAAGTTAAAAGTCAGAGTCAGAGTGTACATCCACATTAGTAGAAACTATGCTGATGAGTTAAATTATTTTTTCACAGACAACATACCCTAGCCTTCGTGCCTTCTTCTGGACTCATCTATGCATTTGGTTGTGGAGCAAGAGGTCAATTAGGAACTGGGCACACTTGTAATGTTAAGTGCCCATCTCCTGTCAAGGGTTACTGGGCTGCCCACAGTGGCCAGCTTTCAGCCCGAGCTGGTAAGAATGATTGTCTCTGGAATTTAAAGGTATTTTAAGTGATGAAAACAGTTGTTTACAGAATATGTATCTATTACTTACTTTGAGGTCTTTTGGAGGGAATGAAGATAAGGTATTTTTTAACATCAATTAATAATTTCTGTACTTACTATGCATGAAGCTGTAGAGTTGAGATCCTAGAGAATAAATAAAGCAGGAAATACTGTTGTGTTAGGCCGTTCTTGCATTGCTGTAAAGAGCACCTGAAACAGGGTGATTTATGAAGAAAAGAGTTTTAATTGGCTCACAGTTCTGCAGGCTCTACAGGGAGCATGATGCAGCCATCTGCTTGGCTTCTGGGGAGGCCTCAGGAATCTTACAGTCATGGCAGAAGGCAAAGAAGGAGCAGACACTTCACATGGCAGAAGCAGGAGCAAGAGGAAGAGTGGAGAGGAGGTGCCATACTTTTTACACCACCAGATCTCATGTGAACTCAGAGCAAGAGCTCACTTATCACCAAGGGGATGGCCCAAGCCATTCATGAGGGATCCGCCCTCATGATCTAAACACATACCACCATGCCTCACCTCCAACATTGGGATTACTGCAATTCAACATGAGTTTTGACCAGAACATACATTCAAACTATACCAGTTATTTTGTTTCCACAGACCTTGGTGGTGGTGTATACATTTTATTGTTGTTGCTAATAATGACAGTTCGCATGTATTGAATGCTTAATGACGTTTCATTACTATGCAAAGCACTCAAAATAATCTAAGAACTAGTTAGTGGTTATTATCCCCATGTTAGAGATAAGGGAACAAAGTCTTAAGGAGGTCAAGTAATTTGCCCAAGATCACATAGATTCTGGAGGCAGGATTTAAACCCAGGTCATTCTAAATCATGTGTACTATGTTACCTCTACTTTGCTGTTGGCATTTTGGTATATAACATGATGTGATTTCTTTTTAAGCCATTTTTTTTCTTCCCTTAAAAAATAGTTAAATAGCAGTCTTGGTTTCATTGGAAATCAAAGTCAGGCAGTCATTAATATTGAATGACTGCTTCACCTTGAAATAATAAATCTGAGGCTGAAATGGAGCTAGAGAATCATTAAAAGGAAGTGTAACTTATTAATTTTGATTTTGAAGTCGATAAAGTGACACACTTATGGCTTGATCAGGAATTTGTTTGAAACAGTAACCATCATAAGTTTTAGTACTGGATTATAAGAAACTCAAGGACACAGACAAACTCTTTTCCTTTTTGTAAACCTAGCATATAGCACAGGACCTGGCATGAACTTGTCACTCAGTAGACATTTTTGGAATGGATATATGAGCATCTGAAATGTAGTGCAACTTAAAATATAAATAAACAAGATTTTGTCTGGGTGATGTTCCCAGAAGCAAAAGAATGGCTTTGTGTCCTCTTCTCTGTAATTTGTAAATTCTTTTCTCCAAGACATTGTACTCATACGTGGAATACATTTATTTAGAAAGTTTACCAACTCAGGTGTTTTTTGGTTATTTCAAAACCACAAATTTTTGAAGTTGAATTATAACCTGACTTCCATGGTCCTAAATTTGTGCTTGGATGTTTGCCAAAATGATTTTATAACATAAGCAGGTAAATGTCAGTTATGTAAATGACATGGTTTTAGGAACCCTCTTGGTAATGTGGGAGCACAGAGGAAGGCATGGAGGAGTATTGTGGTTAGAGGAAGTTTGAGCTGTGCCTCGAAGGATGATTTGGAGTTAGCCAGGTGTAGAGGACTGTGAGGGAGTTGGTGTGAGCACCACCAAGGTGCAGTTCCAGAAGCACATTCAGGTTGTGCTCTCGGTGGGCACATTCATGGAGAATCCCATGTGCCAGGGGCAGCAGAGGGGGGAGGCACCGAGATGTGAAATAGTGTGGTGTATTAGAAATAAAGGCAACGTGGTAGTAGGAGAATGTCACCGTGGACACAGTGTGATGGGAGGTAAAGCAGGGAGCAGGAAACGGAGGTCCTTCCGTGGCAAGATTCGTCCTGACGGGGCCTGGGCCCACCACACTCACATGCTGAATTGTTACCATAAAGAATAGTGCCCATTTCAGATTTCAGGTCAGTGGCATGACAGAGTTAGAATGAAAAAGAGAAACTAGGTCAGGATTCACTGGCAGTTGGGGAGGGGCAGAAGAAGAGTTAGAGTGGAGGATACCATTTTATATATTTATTTTTAATTGAAGTAGAAACAGTCCTAGGCAGTGAGCCAGGGGAGAAGATTTCTTACTTCTGTGACACAATTAAAATGGATAGGTACCCACTCTGAAGTGTATTCTGCGACAGTAGAAAAGGGGATCAAGGAGAAACTTCAATTAATGAAAAATATGCTTTCGGAATTTTTTTTTTGACAGATCGCTTTAAATATCATATCGTTAAGCAGATCTTCTCTGGAGGAGACCAGACTTTTGTACTTTGCTCCAAATACGAGGTAAAATTTTTCTTGTGACTCTTATTTCCAGGAAGGAATAATAGTGAACCAACATTTCTTTTAACAAGTAATTACAACATAAAGAGCAATGTTACTCTTTGTTTCTACCAATCCTATGTTATTTTTAAAATAAGCAAACTAAATCTGGAAGAAGTTGTCTCCATTTGGCTCCCTTGAAGTGCCAACAATTCTCCTGGAATTATGGAGTTCTAATTTATAATTTGAAATTATTTATTTATATTTGTACTTGTTCCAGAAACTCTGTAAAGGATGCCTAGGGAGTTGGTGCTTACTTTGGCATTATTTGATTTTCCATTTCTTTTCTTCCCTGTTAAGTGGCAACAAATGCTAGGTGTTTGAGAACTTGGTGGGTTTCTTTGTTTGATGTGATTGAGTATATATATGTATGTAAGAGGTACCACAATTTTCAGATGTATTTTATTATTTGTAATCTGCTTATGACATGACACCAAAATTTCCCTTCCATTGTCTCCTGCATCACTATAGTGGATAAAGACACTGTGACATTGTCTTTCTGCCTGAAGGTAGAGTGTGGATCCAGGTTTCTGTGACAGGGCTCGAATTCCTTCCACTCTTCCTTGCTGGGGGAATTCAGTCTGGAAAAACTCCACAGATTTGTTGTCAGTGCTGGACTCCTTCCCCTGTGCTTTCTCTCCTCTCTTCTCTTCTTCCCCACCCTTCCTGCTTTTATTCAGCAAACATTTCAACAGGACCAGCTCCGAGTGGTGCATGGATCCTTATACTCTCTTGGAGGAGCAAGGGAATGGGCTGTTAGTGAAGAAAAAGGAGTCAGAATTGACTGGGAAGATAATGAGCAACTGTGGAAACCAGGGGCTCTTTCTGTCTTGGAAACTTTCTCTATTAGTTTGATACTTAGCTATCTTTAAGTACACAAAGTATTTGCCTTCTAGTCATTCTGATTCTGTGATTAGGTTGGAAAATCCTGGTGGAGCCCGAGGCTGTAGGCTGGACAGCTAAAGCTGATGATTAGCTATTTTCCAGGTCAGGTGCCTGAAGAAGGTGGCTTAGTGCTACCATCTGGCGTGATTTGGAACTGCTGCCCTAGACTTATTTTAGACCCAGCCTCAGAGTGTGTATTACAGAGAAATCCTGAGGAAGCTGAGGTTTTTCTTTGTTTCTTCAAGATGTCAATAAAACAAAATACAAAAGGCACTGACTCTGTGGAGGATAATCAGTTTTTGTCCATAAGTAATAGAGTTTTAAGTATTTATTTCCCCTAGAAACTAGTATTGAATAGTGTTATTCAATAGTATCCAACTTTAATTTTCCTGTGAAATTTAACATGAAATTTAGTTTTCTCTTGTAAATATAGTATCTGATATATGTAACTGATTTTTATTATTGTAATCAACACCTTGGGCCTGGAAAACAACACACTGATGAGAAGGAAGTGAAGTAGCATACTATTAGAGAGGCAGGGCAGGTTAAAGTTTAAACAACTGGAAAGAGGGATAGGTATGCATGAAAAGTGTAAGATCACAAAGAAAAAGGAAAGTAAACATTACTTAAGAAGATGTTGCTCTTTCTTTTGAAACTGAAACCTATGCACATTTACTTAAACTATTAACCAGAGATGATTATTTAGATACAGAGGCTGATCAAATCATATGCTTACCCTGTTACCATATCACTTAAAGAACCAAGAAAAAGCACCTGTATAGTTACAGCCTCTATTTTTTTTTTTTTGAGATGGAGTCTTGCTTTGTCGCCCAGGCTGGGGTACAATGGCGTGATCCCGGCTCACTGCAACCTCCACCTCCTGGTTTCAAGCGATTCTCCTGCCTCAGCCTTCTGAGTAGCTGGGATTACAGGCGTCCGCTACCATGCCTGGGTAATTTTTTTTGTATTTTTAGTAGAGACCAGTTTCACCATGTTGGCCAGGCTGGTTTTGAACTCCTGACCTCAAGTGATCTACCCTCCTCGGCCTCCCAAAGTGCTAGGATTACAGGCGTGATCCACCACGCCCGGCCATAGCCTCTATTTTTATAAAAGGCTGACTCATTCATTACTGCCAGGCCTTAGGTGAAAGAAGGGAGGGAAGGAGTTATATTCAGATACCCCTTTGCTACACTGATTCTAGGTCTTGGGAATTTAGTGAATGTAAACCATAGCATCTCCTTTTCCTGTCGTTTTGTTCCCTGGATAGAATTGAAGAGGGAATGTGGTTGGGATTGTTAGAATTGTGTGTGCATGTGTGTGTGTTTGTGTGTGTGTCTATCTCATAATCTTCTTTTTCCTGGAACAGTGATTCTTAACCTTGGCTGCCTACTGGAATCACCTGGGAGCTCTACAAAATACTGATGACTCTAGAGATTCTGATTTAATTGGTCTGGAGTATGACTTGGTCATCAGGATTATTGAACGCTCCCATGGTGATTCAAAGTCCAGCCAAAGTTGAGAAACACTGACCTAAGAGCAATTTTTCCTTTTTTGCCTGTATGTATTAAAGACAGGAAGAATGATGTTTTTTCTTGGTTCTTTAAGTGATTCTGAACTTGTACTTCACCCAAGGCATCTCTGGTTTATTGGACATATGATGAGGAATGATAAAATAGTTCCAAGTCTTTATTTTATTGTAGGTTTGTGTTAGAGTTGATGTTCAGCTGCCCCTTTGAATGGGGGAAATAAATAAAATTTACGTAACAACAGTGGTTTTACAAGGAGGTGGAAAGACAATCTCTGTGTGTACTCCAGCATCTGCTTTGGATTATGAGTTTCCTGTATGTTGTACTTCAAGATGATTTTTGTTCTCTCAATAGATATCTGTGGCCATTTTAGTAGAATAGTTATCAATAACCAGATGATCACAAACTTTGTCAGGCATCTCTGTTTTATTACATGCTCTACTCCTTCCTACCATAATGATACGTTAACTTGAAGCTATGGGAAAGTAACCAAGAAAATTTACTTTGAAAGTTATGTTTTTATGTGTAGGTACAAAGGAGAAAAAAAATCTCATGAGCTGATGAATGAGTGCTTTAATATTACCTTTTTCCTCTTCACTGGAGACGAGAATAGGAGTATAAAGCACCATCAACCTTTCCTTAGTTCTCGATCAAGAACAAGGCTTGGGGAAAATAAGTTGAAAACAAGCAATTTTAGAAAAGGAAAGTGCTTATTATGTTTTTTTTCTTTAATCTCACTGAATAAAAGATGTACAGTGTTGGGCAACATTTGGAATTTTCAAGGACATACATTATTAACATCTTTTTCTGCCATTTTTCTTATAATAGCTATATACTTGAAGCAAGAAATTAAGAGTCATTGTTTTTATAGGTTATTTGTCATATAGATTATAACTGAACTCTGGCTCTTTTGTAATACATTTTGTTGAAGTTTGGTGGACATTTATGGCAGATGACTAATACCTTAAAAACCTGCTGTTACAGTGATTCAAAGCAAAGGGGAAAGAAGTCTGGGAAAGTTGTACTGAGTTGGTTTCTCTGGGAAACAGACCCGAGACTCAAAGGTTTTTGGGAGAGTGCTTTCTAGAAGAACATCTACTGAGGGATGAAGGAGGCAGGATTGCGCAGAGGGAGGGGTTGAAATGCAATTCAGTTATAACAGAGGCCTCAGCCAGTCCCATGAGGAGCACTGAAGTTGTGATGGTCCTTCAGCCAGTCCTGAGTTGAGGCAAGCGGGCTGGACCTTTACACCATGCCTCTACCTGCCATTGGATGTGATAGTGAAGCAACAGTCAATGCCA
Organism: Homo sapiens; assembly: GCF_000001405.40. Lineage (NCBI taxonomy): Eukaryota > Metazoa > Chordata > Mammalia > Primates > Hominidae > Homo > Homo sapiens. Next base: position 88,662,240 of record NC_000004.12, read on the forward strand.
AGTCCTGGACAGCAACCCAGCTGGGATCTGTCAGGAGCCTCCATTCTGAAGGGTGGAGGGGATCTGGGCGGCACACTGCAGCATTTAGATCATAAGTGAAACGTAAAATGGAGAATATGTGGGAGAAAGGAGAGGAGACAAGATCCATGCTACATAATTTCTTCTTTTTACTGTTACATTTAATTCTCCAGAATTATTCTCCTGCTGTTGACTTCAGGACTATGAACCAAGCACATTATACCAGTTTAATAAATGATGAAACCATAGCAGTTTGGAGACAAAAACTCTCAGAACACAACAATGCAAATACAATCAAGTATGTGGCTGCTTGTCTTCATTTTTTTTTCCACAAAGTATGTTACAACTTTTTAGCTTAGTGTGATTTTCCGTACTTGCATATTGATACTGTGAATGTAAATGGGGTTTTACATTATAGGGAATCGTGGGTTATTTTTGGTTACTATTTCAGGGTTGATCTCCTTAGCCCCAAATAGCATAATGGATGGATCCCCAATTCTCACACACAGTATATGCCTCAACCTGCCTTGTTTATTGTATGATCTTAAAAATCCTGACTGATGAAGGCCTGAGTTGGTGATTCTGCTAAGAGAGCTTAGCGTTATGGTTAACTCCCATGGGTTTTAGTGTATGCATGTTCCAAAACATCCCAAATCTGAGACAGCTGTTATCTTACCTAATCTTAATAATTTCTAGCATTTTCCTATTCATAATGATTGAGATGGTAATTCAGAGTCATGTAGAAAAAAAAAAAAACAACAGTAAGTAGGATTGAGAGCTTTTATCAAATTTAAAGGACAATTTTCCTTTGCACATTTTTACACATTTTCATTGGCTTTCCTCAGCCTCTCCACTTTTTTCTGCAAAGTCTGATTCTTGGGAAGAATAAATCAAGCTCTGTGCACTAAGTTGTGGTTATTCCCAGAAACGTACATAATGGTTCCTGCATTATGACATAGATTGTAGTGGGCCAAATGACCAGGACGCTACACTTTGAGGCACTTGAGCTAGTAACGTTGTGAGTGAGAGAGCATTAGAAACGCCCTAGAGCAGCTCTGTGGCAGTCTTCAGAATCCCTCTAACCTTAGGATGGCTCTGCCAAGGAGCTCAGGCTGAAGGGTCGCAGGGGAGAGGAGATGAGGGCTTGCTGGGGTCCAGCAAGGGAAATGGTGACACTTTACCATTAGTTCTCTGTTTTCTTATTTATAAAATGAATGGATGGAAGACATGATCTTTAAAGATCTTTCCTGATCTAAATTCTGTGATTAACAGAAACTACTGTAATCCCCTCCCCAGCTGTATATTTGTGTTATTCTTTCCCTTTTCCTTACACTGAATGGAAAGGCCCAGGGTTCCTGATGTCCAGTTTCATTTTGGGCCCTCAGAATTAGCTGTTTCCTCAGAGCCTGTATAATAGAAGGTAATGGGAATAAGCACTTGTTTCACTATTTTTTAATTTATGTCTCAGATATGCAGCAAAATAGAAGTAATTTTTCAGTTATTAATTTGCCAAGATAATTTCTGTGTTCGGGAAGTAACAGCTTGGCTTCTCTTTTTTGGTTTTATTCTGTGTTTCTCTTTGGAGTTTAGATAGGGCACTTCTTAGATGGTTGGTGGTAGAAAAATATTCAAGAACATTATTGGGACAAGAGGTTTTCTTTCAGGAGCTTTGATATTCTTTTTTTTCCCCTAACATGGGAAACTTAAGTTCTTCTTCATTTTGAGATGTGACATCCTGTTTTTCTAAAGCAAATGTACATTTTCCAAAGCTTCAGCTGACAAAGAGCTGCTATTAATGAAATCCTTGAGTAGATGGTTACTTTATTATTGATGCTTAAATAACCATTTATTTGTAATTATTAAAGGCTTCCCCCTCCCTTCTTTTCTTTGAGCAGTGGTGTTGTTCAGATATTATCTTCTGCAGCCTGTTGGAATGGAAGTTTTCTTGAAAAAAAGTAAGTGACTTAGAGCCTTAAAAAACCCTCACGTGTACCTGTAGTCTCAAGCTATTTGGAAGGCTGACACAGGAGGATTGCTTGAGTTTAGGAGTTTGGGGCTTTAGGATGCTGTGATCATGCCTGTGAATAGCCACTGAATTCCAGCCTGGACAACATAGTGAGGCCCCATCTTTTTAAAAAAAGTTTCTTAAAACCCCACATGTGATGCAAATACTTACTCAGCAAAGGCTGTGAAAGACTTTTCTTCTCTTTGATGGTGGTTGGCCTTAATTTAATGAGTAAGCTGATGCTTTGCGCAAAAATTGGAAAGCCTAATAATGGTAATGAGAGGATTTCAGGAAGAGCAATGCTGATTCATACCTGGATGGCAGAAAAGCAGATTACCGAGAGAGACTGTATCTCAGAAATAATTGGTAGAATCATCAGTAAGATTTTCAGAGTATTCTAAGATGTGTCATAATTCTAAATTCTTAATTCCTCAGATAATTTTCTTGATTTCTTTGGTTTGCTTTCCCACAGTTTTAAAATTTTTATTATTTTTTATTTTTTTCTCTCAAAAGGAGTGAATTTCAGGGAGTAATTCTAAGGAGGCTTCAGGGGCTCCTTGGATTTAGGTCCAGCCCAGCTCACCAGAGAATTATATTTGAGGTTGAACTCCCCAGTAGTAAATAGAATGTTTATTTGCTTAGCCTTATCCCTTCTGCAAATATCTCCCTCAGGAACCTGATGCAGCAAAAGAGTCTTGTCATGGGTTTGGATCTTTGGTAATCCCAAGTCCTAATTATTTCTCAGTCCTTTCTGCCAGTGACCAGGCTATATGAGATCTCAAGATGAATTAGACTTCATTTCTGTGTGTGAATCCCACCCCTACCCCTCGAGCCCTGTGTTACTCAAGGTTCTTCAGAGAAATGGAACAAATAGGAGAGAGATAAATAGATAGATGGATGTATCTAGAGAGAGGGAGAGGAAGAGAGGGGATTTACTACGGGAATTGGTTCACCTGATTATGGAGGTTGAGAGATCCTGCCATAGGCATCTGTAATCTGGAGAACCAGGCGAGCCAGCATCATAGCTTAGTATAAGTCCAAAGGCCTGAGAACCAGGGAAGCTGATGGTGTAACTCTCAGTCTGAGGCTGAAGGCCTGAGAAATGGGTGGGGGCTGCTGGTGTAAGTATTGGAGTGCAAAGACCACAGAACCTGGAGTTCTGATGTACAAGGGCAGGAGAAGAAGGATGTCCTAGTTCCAGAAGAGAGAAATAATTTGTCTTTGCTCTGCCTTTTTGTTCTGGGCTTTCAGCTGACTGGGCGGTGCCTACCCACACTGAATGAGGATGGATTTTCTTTACTTAGTCACTAATTCAAATGCCAATCTCTTACAGAAAACTGACCCAGACATACCCAGAAATAATACTTTACCAGCTATCTGGGTATTCCTTAATCTAGTCATGTTGACTCCTAAATTCAACCATCACCACCCCCTCCCCACAAATGAGTCCCTAACTGGGTTGCAGGAGGTCACTTCAGAAACTCTCTTTGGTTACATTTAGAGATTATAAAGTCATTTACTTTTATAATTAAGGCAGCTGGGATGAGCTCACACAATTCATTTCATATTTAGTAATTAGTTTTTTCCTCTAGGGAAAGATATTCTGGATTATGCTGATGTTGGCCTTCCAGAACAGGGGTTCTCAACCAGGGTGATTTTGCTCCCCAAAGGACATTTGGCAATTTCTGGTAACATTTTTGGTTGGTACAATGGGGAGGGACTTGCTATTGGCATCCAGTGGGTAGAACCCAGCGATGCTGCTAAACATCCTTCATTCCCACCTGCCCAGCAAAGAATCCTCTGGTCCCAAAAGTCAATAGTACCAAGGTTGAGAAACCCCGTTCTAGATGGATAGCTTTCATGACATTTGGGAAGGGCTCTTGGCCAGACTTGTTAGGTTGTTCATCCTTAGTATCACAGATTTCGTATAGAGTTGTGGGGAAAGCCTTTTATTTTTTTTCAAACTGACATCTGTGTATTTCAGAAAGTCTACTCCTGTAGCGTACATAGGATGCATCTCAGGAAACCAATCAAAATGAAGACCAGATTTACAAAGCAATAAATACGTATAGATAAAACATTTTGTTTTTGTTTTCTCAACAGCATAGCAAAAAGCATATGGAAAATTACATATGGGAAACCAGAATTCATTTCTATATTTTGGGCAGATTTATTTTAAAAACAATAACAACAACAACGAAAGACCCAAAAAACAAAGTACAAGCAATTTATCTTCATTTGAGCATAGGGTTCCGATACATATAATTATGATTTTTAAAAAATGTTAGAAACTCTTATGTTTTCAAAAATTATAACATTGCTGTCAGAGTGTATTAAAATCATCTGAATGTGTCCATTACTCAAAAACAGAAGCCTGCTTTGCAAATAGATAGCTCTTTTGTAAATTAACAAATGTGGTATGTTCAAGAGCAGGATATATGAGATATTCTCTAAGTCTCAAAAATGCTAAGATTTTATTTAAGGTTAAAAAAATGATTTAGTTGCTAGAAAGTTAAAAATAGTGGCAATGAAATTAGTCCTTGGGTGAATGTAATTGTATCCTTTGTGTTAACGATGAGAGACATTAACTTTGCATTTACTATAGATCATTTTTATTTTAAATACTTTGGTAAGAAAGGCTTTCAACAAGGAAGTTCTACTGTCATTTGTTGATGAGTGGACCAGTTTGCACAGGGGACGTTATTTGTACCAAGCCACAGCATCTACATCTAGTTCAATGAGCCACAAAAACAGAAAAAAACCAAAAAACACAAGATGAAATCAGGGAAATAATTATTTGTTTATAAACTTCAAGATAGCCTTAACTTGATATGACAGTCCTTGTACTTTGACTTGAAGGAAAACAGATTTAAAAATTTGAAAATTCTTGTAAAAGGAATTCCAGTGTGGTTTATTCTTTGTGAAAGAATAATATTCTGTATTTTGGGTTTATTATTTTGAGATTTATGCAAAGTGTAGTATTTTTGTGGATCTTATCTGCCAGATCAAATTTAAATCTGATTACTAAGAACACAGTATTTTACTTGTTTATAATTCCTATCAGAGTGTTTGCTTTTTCTTTTATTATATACCTTTTTGATTTTGTTTGTTTAGAATTGATGAACATTTTAAAACGAGTCCCAAAATCCCTGGGATTGACCTGAACTCAACTAGGGTGTTATTTGAGAAGTTAATGAACTCTCAGCACTCCATGATTCTAGAACAGGTATGTTTCTATATTTGTAAAGTGCATTCTTAAAAATGCATTTTTGTATCGATGAATTCAACTTCAAGAGAAAAAGAGTAAGATGAAAAAGTGAAAGTCTCCAAATCTTAATTTTGTAAAGTATTTACTCTGGGAATTAGACCTACCTTTTGCTTTCTTTTGGCTTAAACCTTTCCAAGGCAATGCCCCTCTAGAATATACAGTTTGCACTGGCAGGGATCTTTGGCTTTTCTTTTCATGGATGTGTACTGAGGGCCTAGACCAGTGTCAGGCTCATAGTAGGTTCTCAGTGCATAGTGAATGAATGAGAGTTGAGAGTCTATCAAATAGCTTATGAACTTAGAGAAAGTTAACTAGATCTCAAGTATGTTTGAATTTCTCATTACTCTTTTCCCTCATACAGATTTTGAACAGTTTTGAAAGTTGTCTGATTCCCCAGTTGTCAAGCTCACCACCAGATGTTGAAGCCATGAGAATCTATTTAATACTACCTGAGTTTCCCCTACTCCAGGATTCCAAGTATTATATAACATTGACTATTCCCTTGGCTATGGCCATTCTTCGGCTGGATACAAACCCCAGCAAAGTACTAGGTGAATTTGCTAACCTCGATATCAGTGGTTTTATGGTCATTTGTTTTGTTGGTGTGACTCCTGGCTCTCAGTGGATTGAGATCCAAGAATCTATTTGTTGCCATTTAATATCCTTAACACTTAAAACCTTTTTTTCTTTGCTGTTAATTTTTAGCTAACCCTATTTTCAAGTTGAAAATAAAACCATTATTTAGATTATTTGAAATGACTCATGCCAGAATAATCTTGATTTTATAGTATTCACAAACCTAATTTATTTAACTTGAAACTATTTTTTTCTACCACATTTGCTCAGTACCTCAGTATTACTGTACGTTGGTCTTTCTCCTATGTCTAATTTAGGGGGTGGGAGTGAAGTGAACAGTTTCGGTGATACAGAGGTCTCCAAAACAGGAGAGGAAGAAAATGACCTAGTGTGGACTTACCAAATGTTTGTTTTGTTTTTCTTTTTTAGGACCGTTGAGTCCACACTGATTTTTGCAGGCTCCGGACACTTTGCTGAGATAAAAACCTTCCATTCCTCAGTGATTTGGAGAGTGTCTTTCATGGGAGTAGCACCTGAAATGTTTTTATTACTCAAGTGCAGGAAGTCTATCACCTGGCTTTTTACTTTTTTCCCCCCTGGTAAATTTTGTTAGGTGTCATTGCAGCTCAGTAACTTCTGTGTTCCAGATGGACTGGGATGTTACTTGAGTGTGGTCTCGCCGTGAATAAAGAGATTGTGTTCCTGAAGGTGGAATACTGGCTTTTCTATATTGCCTCCACCTTTGTAGAAGAGATAAAAACAGAAATAATAATGAAAGCACTAGTAAATGTTAGTACTTAATTTTTTTTAAGATCAAAAGCCTTTTGGGGGCACATTTTCTCAGGTGTTCTAGTTGATGTGAAACAGAGAGGTGGCAATATCAGAAGAAATCTTACCTGACTTTCAAGTTTTAGAGTTTTTTCATTTTTATTTTTCCAGGCTGGAAAATACAAAGAGAACATAATTGTTCAATTTTACACTTTATTTTTAACTTCTAATTATTGATATTTAAAAGAATACCCCAAAGTAGAGAGTATGCTACAGGTAGTCACCACACAAATTCAGCAGTTGTCAGTATTTTGCCCATTTTATTTCATCTGTCCCTCGCCCTCACCACCTTTTTATTTTTTGTTGGAGTATTTTAAAGGAAATCTCAGACATACTATTTCATTCTTTAAGTATTTCAGTATGGCTGAGTTTATTTCCAACGAAGTATAAGCCAGTGGTATATCTTCTTGTCTGGTTATGAGAAAGCATTTTTTGGTGAGAAGTAAAAATCGTAGTTTTTCAACTAATGATACCTCTTAAAGGGAAGGGAATGGTTGCCATATTGGTGCTGCTTCTAGGGTATGTGGTGCGTCATCCTTTGCATTTCTGCTTCAGGATTTAGTGATGGCTGAAAGCGCTAGGACATAAGAATGCTTTTTGGATTAATACATTGGGCATCACTCCTGCCCAAAATATGTGTATCTTGTCCACATGTAGTCTGGAATTGGACTTTTAAGTTAACCTTCAGATTGAGTCTTTGCAAAAAATCAGACCAGGCTTTACAAAAAAAGCTCCAGGGATTCTTTTACAGCTGTTGTTCTCCCCAAAAAGGTTTTAATGGATTCTTTTTAAAGTCAGTTTTGGGAAAATGTATTTTAGACTAATGTTTATCTTCTAGACAAAGCAATTTTTAACTGGCAGGCAGAAGACATAAATACTTGCCCAAGATTACATGTTGAAATATGTCTTTTCTTTCTTTCTAAAGATAACTGGTGGTCTCAGGTATGCCCGAAATATTTCATGAAGCTGGTAAACCTCTATAAAGGTGCAGTCCTTTATCTACTGAGGGGAAGAAAGACATTCTTAATTCCCGTACTGTTTAACAATTATATCACAGCAGCTCTCAAACTCTTGGAGAAGTTATATAAGGTGAGCATAGGAGGTGCTAGTGGGGAGGGGGTGATTAGATGGTAGGGTAAAATGTCCTAGTGAGATGTTCTCTGGGAAGCCATGTTTCAGTTGTCTGTATTTTGTTCTTCATTAGGTAAATCTTAAAGTGAAGCATGTGGAATATGATACATTTTACATTCCTGAGATTTCCAATCTCGTGGACATTCAGGAAGACTACCTCATGTGGTTCTTGCATCAAGCAGGGATGGTAAGAATTCATAAAGCATATTTTAAAGCTTTAGTCTTTTTATAAGAAAAGCACATGTGAGCTGTATAATATGTCTTTGACTTTGATGTCAGTGTGTCACCTATTCTTCATCCAGCTGGCCTTTTGCATTCTAGAAACTTGGAAGTGCTTTAAGTAATCATCAATGTTATAAGGAGTCATAAATGAGTAGTCACCCAGAATGTTACACATTTTATCAGTTGCCCCCTTTAAAAAAATCAGAGTATCTAAAGTAGTCAAATCCACAGAAACAGAAAGTACAGTGGTGATTGCTAGGGGCTGGAGGCAGGGGAAAATGGAGAGTTGCTATTTAATGAGTATAGCTTCAGTTTTGCAAGATAAGAAAGTTTGGAGATCCAATTGTACACCAGTGTGACTATACTTAACACTGCTGAAAGTGTACACTTAAAAATGCTTAAGATGGTACATGTTATGTTAGGTTTTTTTTTAAACCATAATTAAAAAAACAAGACACATACAAATATGAATTTTTAGCTTTCCTCAAAACTTGGAAGATCTGGCAACACGACCTGTCTTCCCATATGACACCAAGTGGCTGGAGTTCAAGAGTGACTCTTTAGATGAGGCTTATGTATATGCCACAATTCCCACTGCAGCGTAATTTATCCCTGACATTGAGGAAGGGTCATTTGCTAATTATCATCTTCTGACAGCCTACTCCAGTCATCATATGTCAGCTACCTGGACCCCGTAGGCCCCTTCTGATTGAGAATTATGTGTGTGAAAGTGTCACACATCCCTGACCAAGTGCTGTCTCACCGTATTTTAGATATGCCATTCAGGGGCCTGTGGATTCCTGCCTACCACCTCTGGCGTGGCAGGAACTGCTCCTTTTGATAGCACACCAGCTTGGGATATATGCAAGGCTCTTTAGGATCTCCCATCTGTGGAGTATGTGCAAATTTGAGTTAGGTCAGAAAACAGAATGATAATTTGGTTATTGTATTTTGTGAAGCCATGTGCAGCAGATTTGAGGTGAGTCCTTGCCAGTGTAGCAGGTTCATCACCAGTATTAGGGCAATATTTTTCCTGTGGGGTTTTTGGAAGTCAGCAGTTGTCTCCAAAAGCAAGACATTTAAATAGGCTGATCTAACTGAACAAGAAGGATTGTTTTCTTTGTCAAATAATAGATGATGAATGCTAGACACAATGTTGTATTTTTTTCTCTAGAGACTTAAAAAATGCATACAATGTTTTATTTTTAAATAAGATTTTATGATTACCCTGAGAAAACAAAATACTTTTTTTTTGAGACAAGGTCTGGCTCTATCACCCAGGCTGGAGTGCAGTGGCACCATCTTGGCTCACTGCAACCTCTGCTTCCCAGGCTCAAGCCATTCTCCCACCTCAGCCTCCCGAGTAGCTGGGACTACAGGTGCGTGCCATCATGCCTGGCTAATTTTTGTATTTTTTGTAGAGATGGGGTTTTGTGATGTTTCCCAAGCTGGCCTTGAACTCATGAGCTCAAGTGATTCACCAGCCTCGGCCTCCCAAAGTGCTGGGATTACAGGGGTAAGCCACTGTGCCTGGCCAGGAAAATACTTTTTAATATAAATGAGTTAGAGTGTTCTAAATGGGCTGACTTGGGAAATTTAACATGGAGGCTAGTAATGAACTCTGTTTTCACTTTCAAATTTAGGAATTATTAAAAAATAAGCCCTTCTGTTTTATCAATTTATGAATAATTATTCACTGAATAATAACATTATGAGCAGAAAAATAAGCCTGATGAATTATTTAGTCCAACTGCTTTGTTTCTAGATGAGGAAATGGAAGTTAAACAATTTTTCCACTAATTTCATTAGTAGCAGTAAAAGTCAATTCTTCTGATTTCTAATCTACCCTTTCTGTGACTTGATGCTGAATAAAATAAGTCTAACAAATTGTAATTCTTTTTTACTCTGAAAAAGAAGTTGCTCATGTTAAAATCTAGATTATTATGACAGTAGTCTCTGAGTAGAGATATTTAAGTAACTTTTACAATATTTTAAACTTCCTTTCTTTTAACATTTGATAAATATCTTATCAGATCTTGAATAACAGATGCTCATCTCTTCAATAACTATAATAGTTATTAAAGAAATATGGAAAATTACATGAAATTAGTATATGGCCTTTTGTGATTTTTGTGGAATTTTTTTTATTGTATGAGGTACAATGCTATTAGAAATTGAATTTTAAATGTCTTGATATTTTGAAGTTTAATTTAAAATACTAAAGCTATTTCATATGTTATTTTTGTTTAACTACTTTTAAATAATAGATGGATTTTTTTGATGTGTGTTGGCATTTTTAGCTTGTTAATAGCTGAGGCTGTGTAGTATATTATTGAGCACATGCTCCAGTCAAAAAGACCTGGGTTCAGTTCCTTACTCTGGTCTAATGGCCATGGCCTTAGACAAGTTACCTAATTTCTATAGGCCCAGCATCCTCTTTTGTGAGTAAGAATTATAACAGATTGTGGAAATTAAATGGGAGAAAGCATGGAAAGACCTTGCTTAGCAGAGTACTTAGCATATAATAAGCCCTCAATAAATATTTTTCACGAAGCAGTTCTTGAGTACCTAATGTGTGCCATCTGCCTGCTAGTCACAGTGGAAACATGTATGGATATGGTGTCTACCTTTGCAGAGTGTTTAGCCCAGAAGCAGCAGTGAAAAATTGCAAAGGGATCTAACACATGTGTGCAGAAGGAACATTCTAAAGTGGCTGATTTTTACTCCTTTTAAAGAAGAGGTGGTAGTGGTTCCTTTACTTCAATCAGTAACTTGCCATTATCTGCACTTAAAAACCAAATAGCACAGAGTGAATGAGTGGTGGGCTCCTCTAGAGGGCAGCACAAGTGGGGAAAGTCAGTGCCACAGTGTAAATACTTAAAAAATAAAAGCTAGATAAAGCTCGACATCTTGCTGTATGTGTTAAAGGAGACGCAGCCAGGCAGTGTTTTGTCCCCAGTTATGAGTATTGTGCACGTGTGAGACAAGACAGGCACTAAGGCAGAGGAGGCTGTATTTCTTCTCCAGCACTGCAGGTGTGCGTGTAGTGCCTCCTGCCCCACTTGCAGCCACATTTAGGAGATGTTGACTTCGTATTTAAAAAAAAATGATATTCCCAATTTTTCTGTTCTATCCCATTTACTTATTCATTGCTTCTATTTCATATACTTTAAAAATGAGCTTAGGTCACAGTGCAGCCCCGTTTCAGGCAGGGAGACTTGAAATATGGTCCACTAGTACTTTACTAGTTTTAAGTCTGTGATACTCATTTTTGAGGAATGGATAGTCCAAGACAAGTAGCCTCTCAGGAGATAATCATGTATCTTATCAGTTCGTATGCATCCTTCTAGGTTATGAATAGCAATAGTGGCACAAAATCATGCAGATTTATTTTGTATAATATGGAAATACCAGTGTGAGTACAATTTCTAAAATATTCAGTATTCACAGAATAAAAATTAATGAAATTAAATTATTATATATCAAATACAAAAACTTACAGACTTACAAAAAGTCTGTGGATGTATAAGCAGACCTTTGCTACAGATTCGCGGCTTCTTTTGACTGAATATCGCTCCATCCTTTGCCTTCCTTAGAGTTGGCACTTCTGTTTTGTAAGGCTTCCATATCTTCCTGCCTGCCTTGCTGGCTCACCTGAGACTTCTCTAGACCACCAGCTCTGGGCAGTGTCTCTCTGGCTTTGGCTGTGGCTCCTAACTGAGGCAGTTTTGGATTTCTTCCCAGCCATCCCACTCAACAGAGAGAATGGTGACCCTGCCCTCAATTTAACTCCTCCCCTTCTCCAGTAGAAAGATCAGCCCGCTTCCAAATCTGGGTTCCTTCACCTCTGGGGTGTGGGAAGGGGTCAGGTGAGGGATGCTTAGAGGGACTACAAGCTGCCGAAGCTGGGTATTTAAGGGGTGCAGGGAGGCTCAAGGTGGGGGTTACAGGAAGAGGGTGGGGGGAGAGAGTCAGAGAACAGGAGTGGGACTGGAAAGAGCCAAGGAATACAGACAAAACTGCTGATTGATGTCTGAAATAACTGCATTACACCAACTAAAATGTCAGTATGTACTTAAAAATACTAAGTAGGCTCGGACTCTGTAATGCCAGAACTGTTTTTATTATCACTTCTTCCACAGTCACTTTTATATTTGAAATATCTAAAACTTTATCTTGCTTTATAGACCAACACACATTCAAGATCTTTCTTTTCCCTTGAGAATAGGCAGATAATGCTTTGCATAAACTAATCTCTTCTGAGAGACAGATTAGGAAATTCTGAATATTGGCACCAGTTTTAAGCCTACTTTCTTTCCCAGGATGCTTATATCTTTTGTAGGTACCTAGACTAGAAGATGACTTAGCTTTGTATAGTGCTGTTTTATGGTGTGGTTTTGTTTTTTTGTTTTTAGTCATCTTGATTTCTAACTTCAAAGTAATTGGATATGTAGGCATGAGAGTGAGTAAGATTGGTCTGGATTATATATGCAGGATTTCATACCTGATCTCACTGGACTGGAATTGTTTCTTCAATTAGTGTTTCTCTGTCTAGAGAAATGTGCCAAGATCCCTGGAGGAACCTAGTTATAAAGGGTTAACAGGGTAGATTTTAATTAAAATTGCTTATAAATGATTTTATTTAAATATCCATAAGGACAAGAGGAGGCACATGCTGCTTATTCGCATACTACTGATATAGTACAATTATAAAACCAAACCAAATTTATAAATTAAATACAAACAAAACTCTAACAGCAATAAAATGCAGATTAGCCTCATTGATTTTATGTGATGATCAAACATGTCTTACTGAACCCAAACCCTAGTTGCATTGTGGATGTGGCCTGCCTGCTGTCAGGCCCTGGTGCTTGAGTTCCACTGCCCATCTGGCTGGGATGACTCGCCTCTGTTTTCTCCTTCAACTGCTGTTAAACCATGTTTATGCAGCAAGCCAGGACCACACTGGCCTTTTCTTAGGTGCAGATGGAGCATCCACATGCCAAGACTGCTTCTCTCTTTTCTCACTACACCTGGACGATTAAATAATAACATGATGCCAATGCAGTTATTCAAACAAATGTAACTTAATGTGTTTTACTAATTTTGTTTAGGATATCATTAAGAAATAATATAGAGCACTCCCAGATCTCTGAGAATACACCCATGGTTTTCTTTTTGAGAATTCTTGCTACAGATCAACATAACCTATATTGTTGATTTTTTATTGTTTCTATTAAGTTAATATTAAGTTAATGTTTGTTACGTAACTTAACAAAAAGTGAACCTATAACATATCTCCTAGATGTCCTTCATTGTGGTTGTGGGTTTTTTACCATTACTCCCCTCCAAAGTTTATTCACAGGTGCATTCACGTATTGATGGAATGTGTTCTGTAAGCCAAGTACTAGTCTAAGTGCTGAGTCAGTGACAGCTTACTAGATAAAGTTCTTTTTAGAAAGACCTGAAATTCTTTCCAAATACTTGGTTTCTCCTAAGAGTAGCAGCCTGTGTGTATGTGTGTGTGTGTGTAGGAAGATGCAACATCATTTAACAAATAAAATCTAATTTGTATTGTCCACTTTACCCAACAAAAATTAACCTGTGAAGTCAAGGTTGTAAAGCTCCTGTTTTGGAATTAGATTGCTTATAAAAGAGAATTCTATTAATGCTGTGAATTGTGGAGAGTTAGTGACATGCCCTTTAACGGTCATAAGAAAATGTTTTTTAATTGCTTTTGCTCTTTTTCTCATTCTGTGGCCATCAAAACATCTTTTCCCTCAAAATTTAGTCAGCCATTCAAATGGTGTTAGTTCTATGGCCAGTAGTCAGATTGGTTCTGTGTTTTGTTATTTATATTTTACTTTTGGAGGGATTAAAATTCAGGGTTTACAATTTAAGTAAGAGACTTTTTATTTTTCTTTACACAGAAGGCTAGACCATCAATAATACAGGTAAATGATCCTTTTTAAATTTGCTTTTATATTTTTCCAGCTATACTTTCTGTGGAATAGTATAATACTGTCAATAATGTGCTTTATTCTAGGATACTGTAACACTTTGTTCCTACCCTTTCATCTTTGATGCCCAAGCCAAGACCAAAATGTTACAGACAGATGCTGAACTACAGATGCAGGTATCATATTTTAGAAATTATTTCTTCTTTTTACTGTGTTTCTCCCATTCTAGACATTCAGTTGTAATTTTTTCTAGTAGGAGAAAACATATTTGGTTGAAATTCCATTGTAATTCTTAAAACTGTTTGAAACTTTTCAGTAATTTTGTGTTGAATATAACACACATAGGTGAATACACATTTGTGTAGATTAGAGATTGGCAAAAGGATGACTTAGTAAATGTTTTAAGCTTTGGGAACCGTATGGTCTCTGTTACAACTATTCAACTCTATTTTAGCACAAAAGCAGTGATAGACAATATATAAATGAATGAGCATGGCTATATTCCAACAAAACTTTATGTATGTTGAAATTTGCATATTATATAATTTTTACATGTGGTGAAAGATTATTCTTCATTTAATTTTTTTCACCCATTAAAAAAATGTAGAAACCATGCCGGGTGCAGTGGCTCATGCCTATAATCCTAACACTTTGGGAGGCCGAGGCAGGCTTATCAGAGGTCAGGAGTTCAAGACCAGCCTGGCCAACGTGGTAAAACCCTGTCTCTAAATACAAAACTTAGTTGGCCGTGGTGGCACCCACCTGTAATCTCAGCTACGCGGGAGGCTGAGACAGGAGAATCACTTGAACCCGGGATGTGGAGGTTTCAGTGAGCCGAGATTGCGCCACTGCACTCCAGCCTGGGCGACAGAGCAAGATTCTGTCTCAAAAAAAAAAAGAAATGTAGAAACCATTAATAGCTCAAAAGCTAAGCAAAAACAGACAGAAGGCTGGATTTGATGTGTGGGGCCTCAGTTTGCTGACTCCTGACATAGAGAATTAAATGGAACTTGGGAATTCTTTGTTGAATAAAAACTTGTTATAGAGATTTACTTAATAATTTATTTTAAATACACATTTTTATTATAAAGTATAATTGATTTTGACAAGCCACAAAAACGTTTGTGAATTAGCGGCTCAAATCCTCCACTTCCTACCATTGGTAGATACAGATACATAACTTCATTTATCTTTCCCTCTCCATCTCTCTGACTGTCTGCTTGTCTGTCTCTTTCCAGCTCGACTGCATCTATCTATATATATGTTTGTTTTCATGTTGCTATATCTGTGATATTGACAGTTTAGAGATTTTCAAGAGAAATGAACATTTTTCAAAGAATAACTCTTTTTAACAAGTGGTTATTAGCTTTCTTTTCCTGCCATTTTGAAAGTTGTGGTTTTTACCCACTTTCTACCATGTTTCTTCAAGCATGATACTATTTTAGTATTAATCAGCTAGTTTAAGTCACTTTCCTGGACCTGATTATAGATCATATGATTCATAAACTGTTTTAGTTAATTTCTGTGAGTCCAGATTAGAAAGACTTGAGTGCTGTGTAAACATAAGTAACTTAGAAAATCTGTGGAAGTTAAGAGGGAAAAAAATTAACAAAATGGAGATGCAGTCAGCGCCCCCAAGTCCAGAAGCACAGCTGACTGCTCTCCCAACTCACACGTGTGCTCTGAGTAATTGCTTTCTTGACTGTGCCATTCCAGGTGGCAGTCAATGGAGCCAACCTGCAGAATGTCTTCATGCTTCTCACCCTGGAGCCTCTGCTGGCCAGAAGCCCCTTCCTGGTCCTTCACGTTCGCAGGAACAACCTTGTTGGAGATGCCCTAAGAGAGCTGAGCATTCATTCTGATATTGATTTGAAAAAGCCTCTCAAAGTGAGTTCCTTCAGGATATTCCTCTAAATACCTTCGCAATTTTTCTTTGAACAGTGTTGATTAAGCAGCAGTGATCTTATTAAAATTGTGGGGTGCAGCCATTCTTTCATTCATTTTGCAAGAATTTAATCACCTACTTTTGTCAAATCACCAAACAGAACACCTCAATGTAACATTGGATAAAAATGCCAGTGGATTATTTGAAAGATTAGAGTGCTTTCTTTGTCTTCTGCTGTCTTTGGTGTACCAGTTCTAGCTCTATCAAAAACAAGCAAACAACAACAGAAACGAAAGCTTTGACTAATTACCACTATTAAGCTATCATTTAGGAAGATTGTAGATATCAAAGATTTAAGAGAAAGAAGGTAAAATAGGAAAATGGAAAGGTAGTAAAATCATCTGGGAAGCTATTGGCCTATTATGAGAGGCACACCTAGTACCTGTAAATTATTAAGTGAAAAAAAATTTCTCTCTCCATATATCATGCATATTTCCAGGGCTTAGCATAATGTTTGGTACACAGTAGGTATTCCAGAAATACTTAGTGAATTATATGAAATTGTTTAAAGTCATTCATCTTTTCCCTCAGACAACTTCCATATCCCTATTGCTAATCTTGTTATGAGTTCCACTTTCAGAAATGTAATAGGCATGAAATGAACTGATCATCTCCATAATATTTTTACCCTTTCCAAAATTCCTAATAAGTAGCATCAGTCGTATCAATCTGCCTGGTTGTTCTTCCCAGAACTTCTGGGTTATATTTTTGACACAGCTTTTCTTTTTGCCCTGTTTTCAATAGGTAATTCAGGTGAGGCAGTTCTTACTTTGTAGCAGTATTCTTCTGGCATCTGTGTAATCCAGGTCCCAGTCTCTGTCCCATTTTTACTCTTGTCCTGCTCTAGGCAATCTTGAAGACAGCCACAAGTGTAAGCTTTGTTGAATGCTGTTTTTAGTTCTCTGCCCGAGTCATTATCTATGAAATGGGGATGATAATAGTACCCTATGCATAAGGCTGTTCTGAGGATTAGGTTTACAGAGTTTAACAGCTGGCATGTAGTAAACTCCATGTCATTTGTTGATTTGCTGTAGTTGTTACTGTTGATAACCATTATGTATCCATCATGCCCACTTCCACTCCCTCACAGAGCCCATGTCTGTGTCTGATTAGAATACCCTCTTCTCTTCTACATGCAGCAGTTACTTCAAGAACCCTATTGAGCGTGATTTCTCCCAGAAAGTGTTCTTTTATTCAAGTTAAATGAAAAATCATTTTTTTCTATGTGCCAGAATATTTACCTCTCATTATATATTTGACTCTTTAAAAATAAAAAGTATTCTCTGCTTCTTTTATGTTTGTCTTTCTGCGCTTAAGTAGATGGTAGACCTTTTTTTTTTTTTTTGTCGGAGTTTCGCTCTTTGTTGCCCAGGCTGGAGTGCAGTGGTGCGATCTCGGCTCACTGCAACCTCTGCCTCCCACATTCAAGCGACACTCCTGTCTCAGCCTCCCGAGTAGTGGATTACAGGTGCCCACCACCATGCCAGGCTCATTTTTGTATTTTTAGTAGAGACAGGTTTTCACCATGTTTGCCAGGCTGGTCTCGAACTCCTGACCTCAGGTGATCTGCCTGCCTCGGCCTCCCAAAGTGCTAGGATTACAGGCGTGAGCCACCACGCCCAGCCAATAGATGGTAGACTTTCTAAGGACACATGGTAAATTTCTGACTTCCTTTGTATCCCTTGAAGCACCTAGTAAAAATTGTATGTATCTATAAGTACCTTGCTAAAACTTCACCAGCAATAATCAACAGACACACCTTGCAGTTTTCATTGCATCAGTGTGTATTCTTTGTTATGCTTTCCTTCCTTTGTCCTGAGTTTAGAAAATGGTCTGCTAAAAAGAGATAAAATGTGTCATAGATTTCCCGGAAGCATTAATTCTATTCTATTATTTTAAGGTAATCTTTGATGGTGAAGAAGCAGTGGATGCCGGTGGTGTTACAAAGGAATTTTTTCTTTTGCTGTTAAAAGAACTTTTGAATCCCATCTATGGAATGTTTACCTACTATCAAGATTCAAATCTCTTGTGGTTTTCAGACACGGTAAGTAAGTGGTGTCACAATTAAACAGATGGATTAAATTAAACTTTCTTTTTGTTGTCAGACCAATCCCCTAACTTCTAACTTTGCAAAGGGGAACATAACAAGGATAATAATTCAAAATGTTTATAAGTAATTAAAATGTTTATCCAGTCTTCATTTATACTTGTTTCCAAGACCTCATAGTGCATTTTGTGAGCCTTCAGTCCCATTTCCATTTCTAGTAGGTAAGATCCAAGTCTTGTTATCTGAGAAGGGTAAAAGGAAACTGTGATAAATTGGTTTTGTGACATATGGAAGGTCAATAATCAAATATGTCTGATATTAATAACTATGATAATATATTTTCACACACATGTGCATGCACACTTTATTTTTGAAACTTCAGTAGGAGAGCTAAGTTTTTAAAGGCGTTCTAATTTCAATCAGACTGTCATTTACATTTTTTTCTATGAGAGTTTTCTTCCTAGATCTGCACCATACCAAAAGGTAGCCACTAGGCACTAGCCACATGTGGTTATTTATATATTATTTATTTAAAAGTAAGTAACAGCAAAGATTCATTTGCTCCATAGTACTAGCCACATTTCCTGTGCCTAGTAGACACATGTAGCCAGTGGCTACCATATAAGATGGGACAGAATAGAATGTTTCTATAATGGCTGAAAGTTCTGTTGGATGGCCCTGCTCTAGATGACTGTGAGCTGTTCTCTGTATCACTAGGTACAAATGCTTAACTCTGTCTACATTGCATCTTTAAGGGATAACAACTTTTGTCAGGGTGTTTCTTTGCTACAGAAGGTAACTAAATATTAATGAGACCTTTATTCTTTTATTTTGAAAATATTTTGAGGGAAATGGTAGAATGTTTGAAGGCCAGAAACATTGCATTTCTTTTTAACACATTTGTATGTGTCCTAAAAAGTGTTTTGTAGAGCACAACTGGTTTCACTTGATTGGTATAACCTGTGGACTAGCTATCTACAACTCCACTGTGGTCGATCTCCACTTCCCATTGGCTCTCTACAAGAAGTTACTCAATGTAAAGCCTGGCTTGGAAGACTTAAAGGAGTTGTCACCCACTGAAGGAAGGTACAAAGCTAAAAGGCGATTGGTATCTGAAACTGTTGTGGCTGCCTCTGGCATGAGGATTAAAGGTTGAAAATACCATCTGTACAAATCTGAGTTTATTGCATCCTGTGGTTAGACCCTGTTATGTGTGTTTTGTCTAAGATGTAGCTGTGCAGCTACTTGCTTGAGACATTGCCTGTGTTATCGGTACAGTATCGGTATCCGAGGGGTATTAGTTCCAGGACAACCTGCAGATACCAAAATCCACATGTGCTCAAGTCCTGCAGGGGCCCTAGAAGAACCCATGGATTGGAAAAGTTGACCTTCCATATCCTTGGGTTTTACACCCTGCAAATACTGTATTTTCTTTCTTTAATTAAACTGTTTTTGTTGTTGAGGCAAAATAGATACACATATTTTGGGGGTACATGTGATAATATAATACATTATATAATTTGTAAAGTTCAAACCAGTGTAACTGGGATATCCATCACCTTAAATATTTCTCTTTATGTTAGAAACACTCGAATTATTCTATTTTGAAATATACAATAGATTATTGTAAACTATGGTCATCCTACTGATCTATCAAATACTAGGTCATATTTCTTCTATCAAAATGTAATTTGCGCCCATCAGTCAACCTCTCTGCAAATACTATAATTTTGATTGGCCTTTGGTTGAATCCATGGATGTGGAACATGTGAATATGAAGGGCCAACTGTATTTTATTTTTTAAACTGCCAAATAGTGTTTTGTTATATGGATATGCCACATTTTATTTATCCATTCATCAGTTGATGGACATTGGGTTGTTTCCAGTTTTGACTATTATGAATAATACTGCCATGAACATTTGTGCACAAGTTTTTGTACAAATGCAAGTTTTCATTTCTCTTGGTATATGCCTAGGAGTAGAATTGCTGAGTAACTCTGTATTTATCCTTTTGAGGAACTTCCACGATGTTCCCAAAGTAGTAGAGCCACATTTTTTTTATATTTATATTTATTTTCATTTTATTTTTTTTAAATTATACTTTAAGTTTTAGGATACATGTGCACAACGTGCAGGTTAGTTACATATGTATACATGTGCCATGTTGGTGTGCTGCACCCATTAACTCGTCATTTAACATTAGATGTATTTCCTAATGCTATCCTTCCCCGACCCCCCCACCCCACAACAGGCCCCAGTGTGTGATGTTCCGCTTCCTGTGTCCATGTGTTCTCATTGTTCAATTCCCACCTATGAGTGAGAACATGCAGTGTTTGGTTTTTTGTCCTTGTGATAGTTTGCTGAGAATGATGGTTTCCGGCTTCATCCATGTCCCTACAAAGGACATGAACTCATCATTTTTTATGGCTGCATAGTATTCCATGGTGTATATGTGCCACACTTTCTTAATCCAGTCTATCATTGTTGGACATTTGGGTTGATTCCAAGTCTTTGCTATTGTGAATAGTGCCGCAATAAACATACGTGTGCATGTGTCTTTATAGCAGCATGATTTATAATCCTTTGGGTATATACCCAGTAATGGGATGGCCGGGTCAAATGGTATTTCTAGTTCTAGATCCCTGAGGAATCGCCACACTGACTTCCACAATGGTTGAACTAGTTTACAGTCCCATCAACAGTGTAAAAGTGTTCTTATTTCTCCACATCCTCTCCAGCACCTGTTGTTTCATGACTTTTTAATGATCGCCATTCTGACTGGTGTGAGATGGTATCTCATTGTGGTTTTGATTTGCATTTCTCTGATGGCCAGTGATGATGAGCATTTTTTCATGTGTCTTTTGGCTGCATAAATGTCTTCTTTTGAGAAGTGTCTGTTCATATCCTTTGCCCACTTGTTGATGGGGTTATGTTATTCTCTTTCTGGCTCTTAAAATTCCTTTTATTCTTGAGTTTCTCTGTATTGGTTTTGGGTCACATCAGATCAAGTATATAAAAGGACAACTTTAACGGGAGGGAACATCTTTTTGTAGAGAAGGGATACTGATGAAGGTACCCTCCATAAATGAGAGTATCCCTCTCATATAGGACACCAATACTGAGAAACTATAAAGGATGGGAGGACACACAGAGTGGAAGAAAAAACTTAGAAGTAATACTAAAAAGTGGCACAGGAGACCCAGACAGTGTTAATTTTTTGGTAACTGAAAGAAAAGGCTAGAGAGCAACAGAAATGTGTGTCCCTTACTTTGCTTATGTGGCTGAGAATTATGTATTTCAAGTAATGACTTTGGCTGATTAACTGGTGGCAGATTTAAATTCCACACTAGGACTTCTCTTTCCAGGCAACTCTTGATAGAATTGCAAGACTGGAGCTCACTAAAGAAGAAAGTGTGAATGAGAGCTAGTTATAAGAATGTATTCTCTTGAGAGCTGGGATATGATTGTTGTTGCCATAAACATATTCTTCTTTTAAGAGTACTTTTTTTCATTATTCTTTAGTTAGTGTGACAGAGATAATAAAGTGTTTTTACCAAGCTTGTCTAACCCTCGGCCTGCAGGCTGTGTGTGGTCCAGGACGGCTTTGAATGCAGCCCAGCACAAACTCACAAACTTTCTTAAAACATCATGAGATTTTTTTGCAGTTTTTCTTCTTTAGTTCATTAGCTGTCATTAGTGTTAGTGTACCACTGCTCAAAGAAATAAGAGACAACGCAAACAAATGGAAAGAAATTCCATGCTCATGGATAGGAAGAATCAATATTGTGAAAATGGCCTACTTCCCAAAGTAATTTATAGATTCAGTACTATTCCCATCAAGCTACCATTGACTTTCTGTTCAGAATTAGAAAAAACTACCTTAAATTTCATATGGAACCATAAAAGAGCCCATATAGCCAAGACAATCCTAAGCAAAAGCAAAGCTGGAGACATTACGCTACTTGACTTCAAACTATACTGCAAGGCTATAGTAACCAAAACAACATGGTACTGGTACCAAAACAGATATATAGACCAATAGAACAGAACAGAGACCTCAGAAATAATACCACACATCTACAATCATCTGATTTTCGACAAACCTGACAAAAACAAGCAATGAGGAAAGGATTCCCTATTTAATAAATGGTGCTGGGAAAACTGGCTAGGCATATGCAGAAAACAGAAACTGGACCCCTTCCTTACACCTTATACAAAAATTAACTCAAGATGGATTAAAGACTTAAATGTAAAAACCCAAAACCCTAGAAGAAAAACCCTAGAAGAAAATCTAGGCAATACCATTCAGGACATAGGCATGGGCAAAGACTTCATGTCTAAAACACCAAAAGCAAGGGCAACAAAAGCCAAAATTGACAAATCGGATCTAATCGAACTAAAGAGCTTCTGCACAGCAAAAGAAACTATCAGCAGAGGGAACAGAAAACCTATAGAATGGGGAAAATTTTTGCAATCTATCCATCTGACAAAGGTCTAATATCCAGAATCTACAAGGAACTTAAGCAAATTTACAAGAAAAAAACAACCCCATCAAAAAGTGGGCAAAGGATACGAACAGATGCTTCTCAAAAGAAGACTTTTTTTCAAAAAATATGGAACGCTTCACGAATTTGCGTGTCATCCTTGCGCAGGGGCCATGCTAATCTTCTCTGTATCGTTCCAATTTTAGTATATGTGCTGCTGAAGCGAGCACAAAAGAAGACATTTATGTGGCCAACAAACGTATGAAAAAAGCTCATCATCACTGGTCATTAAAGAAATGCAAATCAAAACCACAATGAGATACCATCTCACGCCAGTCAGAATGGAGATTATTAAAAAGTCAGGAAACAACAGATGCTGGCAAGGCTCTGAAGAAATAGGAATGCTTTTACACTGTTGGTGGGAGTGTAAATTAGTTCAACCATTGTGGAAGACAGTGTGGCGATTCCACAGGGATCTAGAACCAGAAATACCATTTGACCCAGCTGTCCCATTACTGGGTATATATCCAAAGGATTTATAAATCATTCTACTGTAAAGACACATGCACACACGTATGTTTATTGCAGCACTATTTACAATAGCAAAGACTTGGAATCAACCCAAATGCCCATCAATGATAGACTGGATAAAGAAAATGTGGCACATACACACCATGGAATACTATGCAGCCATAAAAATGAATGAGTTTATGTCCTTTGCAGGGACATGGATGAAGCTGGAAGCCATCATTCTTAGCAAGCTAACACAGGAACAGAAAACCAAACACCGCATGTTCTCACTTATAAGTGGGAGTTGAACAATGAGAACATGTGGACACAGGGAGGGGAACATCACACACTGGGGCCTTTCGGGTGGTGGAGGTGGGAACGGGAGGGAGAGCATTAGGACAAATACCTAATGCATGTGGGGCTTAAAACCTAGATGACAGGTTGATAGGTGCAGCAAACCACCATAGCACATGTATACCTATGTAACAAACCTGCACGTTCTGCACAAGTATCCCAGAACTTAAAGTAAAATAATAATAATAATAATAAAGCCAGTCTAACTGGGTGAAAAAAAGTAAAGATGTGTTTTCTTCTATATATATTTTATCTGTGTACTAATAATAAAACCAGACTTACTTTTATGTCTCTTCAGTCTCAAAATATTTAAAAAGAAGCTCTTTTTTCACTGGTTAACATTAGGAAGAAGGTGAACAACTATGACAGTTTTCTTGGCTTGTGAATTTTTGGAGTGTCTGAAATCAATCTTTTAAAATTATATTGTTGTTGAAGACAGCAGTGTTTTATGCTGAATTACACAGAGATAATGTATTTTTATGGACACATTTGGCAGCTTGTTATGCCTGTGCAATGCATAACCTCTCAAAACAACTTCTTTTCCTCTCTCCATCTCTTAAAAAAAAAAAATTAGTGTGAGTGTATTTTATGTGTGGCCCAAGGCAATTCTTCTTCCAATGTGGCCTGGGGAAGCCAAAAGATTGGGCACCCCTGGTCTTTACCATATAGAGACTTCTGCATTAACAAGTAAGCCACTAAGATTCCTGTGGATGTGGTGACTTTGTGGCTTTTTAAATTTTGTCTGATGGAAGGATTATTTTACTAATGCATAAGCCGGTGAAGCTGGCTGGAGGGCCCCTGCAATACCATCTCCTCATTTATATGTATACACACACACTTGCAAGCTACACCAGAGTTAAGAGGACACAAGTATGTCAGATTAAAAATCCATCTGATTTTCTTTTCAAGTCTAATAAGATTTGTCGGTAAGAAGAGAGAATAATTAATGAATGTTTTATAGGTCTAGTGCCATAATTCTCTGCAAGGTGTAGGTACATGATTTTCTGTCCGTCCGGATTTATGTTTATTCCAGAATCTTCTTTCATAGTTTTTCCTTGGAAATGGTCTGGACATGTAACTGAAGTAGAAACACTGTTGCAGCAGTGTCTGACTTGCCACTTTTCCTTTTCTGTCATTCTATGATTAGGAGTCTCCAAGAGCTTTTAGATTACCCCGGGGAGGATGTGGAGGAGACTTTCTGCCTCAACTTCACGGTAAGAATTTCCACAGTTTACTTAGGATTGTGGCTGTCTCTCTTACCATCTTTAGAGTGATATTTAACATTAGTTCTTCTTCAAATCATAGAAAAAAGTCAGAGACTTCTTTGAATCAAATTATTTTAGTCATAGTGTCTTGAGTGTTATAGGGGTTCAGTGGGCGTGTTGAATAAATGAATGAATGATTAATCTGTTATTTATTGCATTTATTGGCAACTCCATGTCCTAAAACAAAAGATGTTTTTTAACCTGCTAATGTTTTCTGACTCAAGTTCTGATTATTCTCCCACTAATTTTCTGTAATAGTCATGAAACTACATTTGTTCCTAAAGCCTCTCTCAGTCATTTGAGTTCTAGAAAGATGAATGGTTAACAAAATTGAAATATTTCTTTTTTCCACCTTAAATATAGATCTGCCGAGAAAGCTATGGAGTGATTGAACAGAAGAAGCTGATACCTGGGGGAGATAATGTAACTGTGTGCAAGGATAACAGGTTAGTCCTGACCTTGGACTGTTGCAGATACTGCTACTTCATATTTCTGCAGTTTTACATTTAAGACCAAAATAAAAATTACTTTTTAATATTAATACCTTCTTCAGAGGAGGTAAGTAAGGGTGATAGGGCAATAATTTACAGATTTTAAATAATTTTTAAAGCAGAGCAAGCACCCGGCCTAGATTCAGGAGATGACTGTTTTAGTTCTAGAGCTGCATCTTTTTGGCTTTGACTCTGAGCAAGTTACGTAAACTGGTTTCAGTTTTCTCATCTGCCAAATGGGGATTATAATCACTGTGCTCTCTACTTCATGGGATGGTTGTGAGAATGAAATGAGATAATTCACAGGAAAATACTTTGGAATGAATGGACTCCCAGCATCTAGCACAGAGTTTCTAGTATCTAACAGAGTGCCTGGCACAAAAATACTCAAAAAATATGTGTTGAAGAAATGAATTTTATAAAGGTGCTTACTATCACTGCTATTTTACTGCTGATTGATTTGTCATAGAGTCTGGATCATAACAACAAATTCAAGTACATTTGATTTTTCAGGATGATTCATAATCTCTGAGTTAACTCTTTAGAGGAGAGAAGATACTCAATTTTGCTTACTTTTATATTAAATTATGCTAATCTGCATGAAATCAATTTACTTTACAAACACTGAGTGCCCACTGTGTGCCAGCCATAGTGCTGGGTATAGAGGGTGAATAACTTCTATCCTTAGAAGCTTTGGGATTAGTTGAGAAGGGTCAATGTATGGAATAATTGCAATAGAATCCAGTGTATGTGATAGAAGTTGTAGCCCAGGTGCCACGGTACTAGGGTAAGAGGCTACAACACTTTTATCAGACACTAAAGAATGCAAGTTGGAGGAAACATTTTAGGCACCAGATGAGTTGGGACTCTGCAGTTTGACACATGATAGAGAATGTTGGGTACTTGTGGAGTGGGTACTGGTGTACGGATGAAGGGAGACTATAGTAGCATCAGAGTGGAGGTTATCAAGGCCTTGAACGGCGCTTGGAGTAGAACATGATTGGTTTCTATTTTAGAAAGATTACTTTGGGGGTCCTGTGGAAATAGACCGTGTGCAGGGATACCCATTAGGAGGCTTTTGAGGTAGCTCAGGTAAAGGATGTTAACAGCCAGAATGAAGGCAGTGGGAAACAGAGTTGGTTATATAACCAAATAGGAGCTAGTGTCTGATTATATATGGATGGTATGAGAGAGTTATATATTGATAATAATGCTGAGGTTTCTAATTCAAACACTAATAGGAAACAGAGTCTATAAAGCAGGTTCAAGGGAAAGTTCCATTTTGAATATATTGATTTTGATATGTCTTTGTGATACCCAGGTGATTGTGTTTAGAGCAGAAAATTTATATATCTCAATAAAGAAGTCTTATATGAATATTTTTTAATTAGTTATGTGAGCCTCAATCACTATTAAATTTGAGGTCGCTTACAGCAAGAATCAACAAGAAAGAAGTGGTGAAATGAAAAACAAGAGCAAGGAAAACGTAATTTCTTAGAGGAGCTATATAAGTTAGAATAAAATGCAGACTCTTGAGGATTTGAGCATAATTTGCACATAGGCTAGCATTGAAACTTCCTGGCTTAAGGAAAGAGCGGGTAGGGGGTGGGAAAGGTGAGAGAATGACAGTCTTTCTTTGGAAGCCTTTAGAGAGGAAAGCAAGGTTTCATTTAAGCTATGAAAAAAGATACAGATGTGGAGAAACTAGATGCTGTTTGTACGCATGCAGGAAAATTAAGTAAAACTCACTCTGGACTTTTATTGGCTTCTTCCTCTAAATAGTTGGGAAGATGCAATTGGAGATCCTATTAAATTCACTCTATCCAAGTGATCTATCTTGATTTTCTTTCATAATCTTTCCTTTTGAAAATAGGAATGGGCTGGATGCAGTGGCTCATGCCTGTAATTCCAGAACTTTGGGAGGCCAAGGTGGGTGAATTGCTTGAGCTCAGAAGTTCAAGACCAGCGTGGGCAAGATAGCAAAACCAAGTCTCTACAAAAAAGTAAAAAAAAAAAAAAAAAATTAGCCAGGTGTGTGGCAGTGCACATCTGTAGTTCCAGCTACTCAGGAGGCTAAGGTGGGAGGATCACTTGAGCTTGGAAAGTGGAGGCTGTAGTAAGCCATGATCATGCCTCTGCACTCCAGCCTGGACAACAAAGCAAGACCTCATCTCCCCCCGCCCCCGCCAAAAAAAAAAAAAAAATATTGACAGACTTCTTCTTCCATCCTTGACTACTTTTTTTTTTTTTCGAGACAGAGTCTCACTCTGTCTCCAAGGCTGGAGTGCAGTGGTGCAATCTCGGCTCACTGCAACCTTCACCTCCTGGGTTCAAGTGATTCTTCTGCCTCGGCCTCCCGCATAACTAGGATTACAGGCGTGTACCACCATGCCTGGCTAATTTTTGTATTTTTAGTAGAGATGGGGTTTTGCCATGTTGGCCAGACTGGTCTCGAACTCCTGACCTGAGCTGATCTGCCCGCCTCGGCCTCCCAAAGTGCTGGGATTACAGGCATGAGCCACCGCTCCTGGCCCATCCTTGACATTTTAACAAACGACTCGAAGCTAGTATGATCTCATACATCATTCATTAACCATTTTTTTTTTGTCATGTTAACCTTCCAGACTATCCAAGAAGCCTCAGCTTTGGGGAAAGTGAGCTATAGTATCAGAGTTGAGTGAAATGATGCAGAAGCCACCCAGACACCCAACAAAACTGGCTTCAGTTGATGGAATTATCTTGGCTCTAGAAACCTAATATAGAGGCTAGTCTTGATTCAAGTAAGAATGTTGCAATCAAAACCCTTGATAAGAATCTCTTGGGGCTAAAAGCAGTTTCCTTTATATAACATTGGTACTTTTGTTAACAGTAAATAATTTATCTTCAGGATGTTTATTTCCTTAATAAGACCAGGCTTTTTATTCCATATAGTCAGATAATGTTTTTAGAATTGGGAAATTTATGGCAGATCATAAAGCAGATTTGTTAGCCCAGCTGATTTCCCTTCCCTCCTGGTTTTGGGGATTGCTTTATAACATTGTAGATGCGTGTGAGTACGTATGTAGATACATACGTAACCTTTAGTCTTTCAAACAATGTCTTAGCTTTTGCATTAAGTTTCAGACAAGATAATGTGTGCATCATTTGTTAGAAGCTAACAATGGGATAGGCAAGCATCCTGAGGAAGGGGAACATTCAGAGTGTCCTCATCCTCTGCTGAGTCATCATAGTGCTCTGTGAGTATGATACAGTGGCTGGGGAAATGAATGACCTAGTGCAGGAATAGGCAATTGGCAATGTAGTCTGCAATTGAGGCAGTGGCCAGAACTGCCTTATTACTCCTTTTCATATCTTTGTCAAGTTATTTCTCTTAGCATATTTTTTGTCTCTGTCTTTTTTGTTCTCTTTCTGAGTCTGAATTTTTCTCCCTTTCTGTTTCTCCATTTCTCTCTCCCTGTCACTCTCACTGTCTTTCTCCTTATTCAACAGACATTTCTTTGAATCAACAATTGAATTGACTCAACAGTTGTGGGAGAAACTGCAGGAATAGTAAAATATAACACAGTTTGTTTAGGGTGATAAGCTGTATCCAGATGCAACCATAAATGGAATATGAAGACTAAATTGGGTGGTTGAATCTGAAGGCGTTCAGAGAAGTCAGCTTGGACAGATGCATCTGGGAGGACAGATATGGGATAGAGCTAAGTTTGGAAGCCTACTAAGATTTGGATACTAGAAAGTAGAGAAGAGGATATAAACATGAAAGGTGCTCTGTAAAGGGATGGAAAAATCTGAGTTGTCGTTTCAGACAGAAATTTTGATTGCATTTTACTGTGTTCAAGATGTACAGAACAGCTTCTGTACTAGGTAGAAATTTAGATTTCGGTTTTTCAGAGTACTCATTGAATACACTGTGAACTCATCCATGCTACTTTAGGCACTGATGTATATGTCTGTGTCACTCAGTGACAGGCAGGAGACCCTGTTGCTGTCACAGTTACCTGTTTGTCTTTGGGCTGCTGTAAAAAAGTACGATAAACTGGATGGCTTATAAACAACACAAATGTATTTGTCATGTTCTGGAGGCCGGAAGTCCAAGATTAGGCTGCCAGCATGGTTAGGTTCTGGCGAGGGCCTTCTTCCACGTTGCAGACTGCTGACTTCTCGTTGTATCCTAGCATGGTGGAGAGCAGCGTTGGGAAGCAAGCTCTCATGACTCTTATAAGGACACCAGTCCCATTCATGGTTACTGCTGTACTCTTTACTATAGCTGTTTTGGTTAGGGACCACCAGAAAAAGACATGAATGAATTTTTTTTTCTTTTCATTTTATGCTGCACAAAATAGAAATCTTACCAACAAAGTACATTGAGGTCCTGGTAAGAAAGGCTGTATGAAGTTGTAAAAGATTGATCATTATAGTCATTATTTCCTTGGCTATATGCCATAATGTAGTCATTAGCAGTCCTAAATTATATGACTAAGAAAATGAAATAGCTGTAAGAAGAATACCTACTGGCCTTTTAACTTAGGCAGTTGTATACACAGATACTTCTGGCATTGAGGCTGTTTTTGTTAACAGTAAGATATTTGCTGGCATTGCTGCCCCAGGGGAAAATGCCAGAGGAATACCAATTCTGTATTCATAATTTATTCCATTTCATTTGGTTTTAAAATGCTTTCTATCCTTGGACAGAACCTACACAGTCAAATGAGTTGTAGGCATCCAGGTAAAAGAACATCTGTGGCTGATTACTGGTGGCTGCATCATAGACAAATCTTGCCACCAGCTGGTAGTCACATCTGGATAATACTATATCACATGACTACTCATGGTTAAGCATTTCTTATGGTCTATAATATGGTGTTAATTACCATTAGTGAAAAACCCATATGTCATTCTAGATTCCCTAAAATTTACCTTAATTTGATGCAATCAAATTAAATGCAATTGCTGTCTTCCCATTTTCCCCATATTAAAAAAGAAACAGATGACACACACATGGGGCTGGGGGGTGGGGCAGTGGGGGGCAGAGAGTAGAGTAAAGAGATCACATAGTAAGAAATGCCAAACTTAAGGTAAGTGCTTCAAAGGGCATCTAGATTCCGTAGTGAGAACCTGAGAATAAAACTCATGCATGACAAACACTTCTTGCTCCTTAAGATCTACTTCAGGACCGCTGGCAGACTTCAGTTGATCTTTCAGGATAGTTTCTGAGGGATGCAGTCTTTAAGATCTGCATTGTATTTGCACTGGACTATTACAGGAACTGCAGAATTAAAATGCCAGTAACACTTCTTGAGTGCTTACCATGCATCAGACACTATTTGAAATATTTTACATGTAAGACTCCCCATTTACTGAGGAGGAAACTGAGGCACAGACAGGCATAAGTCTCTTGTTCAACGTTACACAGCTAGAAGTCCAGGATTCTAAACCAGAGCCAGGATTCAAAGCCAGGTGGTTTGAGTTAGACTGCGCTCCATGGGTACCAGCATATGGCCTCTCAGGGGCTAAGGCTGGGGCTCAAGAGTTCCCATCCTCCTTTCGCCCTAGGAAGAAAAATGACTTTGAAGACTTTGCTGTTTTTCGTTTCAGGCTGACTAGGTAATGTTTTCAAAAAGCAAAATTGTAATAGTTAAAAACATAACTAATATACATATGGAATGGAATGTCTGAATTTTTAAACTTAGGTGAAGACAATGCTTATATTTAAAATGCTATTTCAGAGTACTCATGAATGCCCTTAATAGTGACTGCCATGGTTTGCTATGTGAATGTGTATTTTTCTGTTTCTTCACTGTTGAATATTTGGCTTGTTTGTATGTTCTTTTTTATTCCTCTTTTTTCTCTTCCCCCCCACCACCATTTTTAATAAGACTATATCAAGTATCTTTTGTGTATAAAGGATTTTGTGCCTTTAAATTTGCTTTTTAATGATAAGGTCTCAGGGGTGAAATGGAATTAAAATGTATAACATTTGAATTTGTTGGTAGATATTTTTGATAAATTGATTTTGCTAATGAATTATACTCCCTTATATGTCATTATCACCATTTCATCCAGTCCTTAGAAACATGGTGTGTATTCTTTAAAAAAAAAGTTGCATTTCTTTCACACATAGGCTACTTTACATAGTCTACACAGTATTGATCTATTTTACTGCTGTTTACCTCTAAAATATTTGTTTAAAAAATGAATTAACTAGAAGGTGGTGGTTGCACAGCATTATGAATGTACAAAACGCCACTGAATTGTTCCCTTTAAAATGGTTAATTTTATGTTATGCAAATTTCACCTCAATAAAGTGTGTACATGTGTGTATATGTGTAAATGTGTCTATGTGTATGCATTGAGTGTACATTCTCAGGCAGAGAGAGCTGCCATGCCATTTTTCACAGTAAGCATCGGCATGCCAGTTTTCTGCGTAATACTCAGAGAGTTGGTTGAGTGTGTATTGCATGCTTCC
Source organism: Homo sapiens (assembly GCF_000001405.40). Lineage (NCBI taxonomy): Eukaryota > Metazoa > Chordata > Mammalia > Primates > Hominidae > Homo > Homo sapiens. Next base: position 88,693,814 of record NC_000004.12, read on the forward strand.
TTTCTTTCTGCCAGTTATTTTGTGCTTTGTTGACTAATTTTGGCCTATAATAGGTTAAAATGGTTTATGAATGATAGTGTTTGACCTACCTTGAAGCAAGGGTATCCTGTTAGATGTTAACATGCAGGTTTTAGGGTTGCCAGAGAAACTATCAAATAAGCAGTCCAGGAAACAATATAAAGATTAGCCCAGTTAGGAAGTGGCAGAAATCGCTTGACGTCACAAACATCCCTGTATCCTTAGAGAAGTGGCCAACAATTCTCTAAGCTAGAAAACCCCACAGCTAAAATCTTATCATAAACAAAAGAAAGATTGCTGGCCAGAGCACATAGCTAGGAACACTTGTCTCTAGACCCTGCCAGAGCCCCGGCTCACCTAGTGCTGCAGGTTCAGGAACACGCAGCATTAGGTGAGTTCTTTCTGCCTCAGGCAGGGTTTGCAGTCTTTCCTCTTTTTAGAGACTCTGCTGATGTCCTTTATGTATTTCTCTAGTAGGACTTAATAATTTTCATATGATTCATAGGAACTCTTCATTATGTTTATGACTATTAACCCTTTGCCATCCATATTTATTGTAGGTTTTATCCTCTGTTTTTGGTTTTGAAAATGTAGAGTGTGTCTTTAACTCTGTGATTTCTTAATTTTTGTGTTGTCATGTGTGTTATTTCTTTTGGTCTTATACCACTCTAATCCTAGCCATTCCCTGTCCAGTAATTGATATTTAATATATTTTCTTCAGTTAGTCTGTAGTCTGAGGTAAAAATCTAAACTGTTTCCAAATTGCTAAAGGTTTTCTTAGCTGTTCTTAAGGTGAACATTATGGTAATTATATTAGGTTCCAGATCCAGTTTGAGTTTTGATTAGAATTGTGATAAAAGTTAATTTGGGAAGAACTGACGTTTTTGTGATATTCAGTCTTACTATCCAAAGGCTTATGTTATGTTTGTTTTTTATTTTTACATAGGTCATACACATTTCTTATTAGAGGTTTTATAAATGTTTTGATTTCTTATTTTTACTCTGAGAGCCTTTCACATATATTTTGATCATTATTAGTGCCTATAAATGGTTATTGGTTTTTGTGTATTTATCTGATAACTGGTCAGTTCATCAAACTTATTAAATTGAATTGTTTTCCAGTTGATTCTCTTGGGTTTTCTATATGTAAAAAACATTTCCCAATACTTATGCCTCTTAGTTGTGTTTCAATCGTTTTTGCTTTTTACTGGAACCAGAAAAATAGTAAAATGATAGTCTCTCTCATTCCTGGATATAAGAAATCAATATTAAATTTTATTAGATTTTTTCTCTATTAAGATAATCATATGATTAAGATAATCAGAACTTTGTATGTAACGTATTATTCTGATTTTCTCTTTTGGTTGGCCTGAGCATAATGAAGATTAACTTTACCTTAAGGTTGTTTGTACTCAACAATCTGTTGTGATTAGCAACAGGTCAGTGCTGCCTTCCATTCCCTAGGATAAAGCAATATAATTTTGCTTCTTTGTAATTTTAACCCTTCAGGGAAAAGGAAGCAAATGGCATCTGATTTTTTAATTTTTCTGGAGTCCAGTTTTTAAAAAAAACTTTCTGCTTCATTCAGAATGAAGCAAACATAAAGTTGAAATAGCCTTTTTTATCCTTTCTGGGAGATGATAAAAACCTGATATTATATTGAGGAAACCAAAACAAGATAGTTTATTTAATTTCCTGCATTTCTGAATTAAAGGCCACATTCTTCTCTCATAATAAGGAATCAAAAACATAGGGAGGGATGTAGTGATGTCTCTTTCTCCCATTTTGTAACAGGAGAGGAGGATTGAATTTCCAATCACTGTCTTTATCTTTCATGTAATAATAATAGCTAAGAATTATTCAGCACTTACCATGGTTTGGATGCTATTCTATAGGATTTATATGTATTAATCCATTTGCTCTTCATAGTAACCCATGAGGAAGGGACTATTCCTATTCCCTTTTGTAGATGAGGAGAAACTGGCCACTGAGAGTATTAGCTGAGTTGCCTAAGGTACATTACTAATAGGAGGCAGAGCTGGGATTTGAATGCAGGCAGTCACAGTACCGAGTCTTTTATATATATTTTTTGAAAATACTGTTTTATTAACACCACAGTGATAAACAACTTTAAGCTTATGTTTCTTTATAGATCACTGGCTCACACATAATTCAAAACCCACACAGAAGCTAAGAGTCTTTACATTAAATATATTCTTCCTAAAAATCCTTACTGTATGCATCTGTCCTCAAGCAGTAAAATTTGATTATGCACCATTTTATAATTAATATGTCACATTTACATAGCAAAATAATGAAGGCACAGCTAATACAAGCAAACTTAAACCCTTTCTACTTCTGAGCTGGGGGTAGGGGCACACACTTGGATTGGTTCTTCAAGTATATATTTTTTCCAAACATTAGCTTCAGTGAAGAGTTCTGATGATTTTCACAGCTACACCCTAAAAGCTACATGACAGAAAGACGTCACAAGGCGCAAAGTACATAACGCTGGATACACATGCTTTACATAATTTGCTACATTCTACATCTCTTCAAGTAAATTAATATTTCTAAAACGCTAGGTAAAGTGATTTAATACTTAAACATATTTGGGGTATTTTTTACGTGTTTGTAAATAGACAGTACTAAGAAAACACAAACATGAGATTGTAACTAATGAATACATATGTTGACAGTATTTTACAGGTTTTACACCCTCCTTCTTGGAACCATGTTGTTTCTCTAAATTCAAATACTCAAAACATTTTTCAGAACTTGAAATGGCAGTTTTCCTGGCCTTATTAACAGTAGTGTCATGATCTCCATTGCAATCTTCCTCAATGCCATCAATCTCCTGTGAAGTGTAAAGCTGATGTCTGCGTTACAAAAGCAAAGTCTCAAAGATGACGTTTTTCTTGGGTTCTGCCTTCTCTGCACTGCGAAATGTCATGAGTAAAGAAATTTAAGAATTAAGCACTGAGAACGTGTTCAGTCATGGCTTGGGTGTTCCATGTGTAGCGTATGCTGTGTGATGAATGGGTTTCAAAGTGACGTTCTTTACTTCGCATCTGCTAACACCCTTTGTAAACCTCAATCCTCAGAGAAGAGACCATGAAAACATAATTTTGGGTTTAATTCAGTTTTCTTTAACACCTTTTGATATATTTATTATGTTCAAAATGAAAGTCAAATTTGAATCGAGCTGGCCAGGATCTAATTGCTTTAATTTAATCTATTTTAGGAATGTCAGAATAAATTCACATTGTATTTTGGTCAAAAACCTGAGCCTTTTTAAGTCCATCGATATTCTGGGAAAAACAAAACCAGGCTTTTTTCTTCGTGGGCTTTCTCTTCATCCATCTCTGCCCCCCTTACTTCTTGGCGTCATCAGGCATCTCGGCGTGGGCATCGTCATGTTTGGCCCCCGCGGCAGCCTCTGCCGCAGCCTCCTCCTCCTCCTCGTCTTCCCCCTCCTCCTCGTCATCCTCGTACTCCTCTTCCTCCTCCTCCTCCCCCTCCAAGGTCCATGCACACCCCTCCATCTCGCCGGTGAGCTCTTGGATCTTGGCGAGTAGGGGCTTATAGATGTCATTATACTTTTTTTCCAGAGCCTGAAATTCCTTATCAAATTTGGCTTCTATCTTATCGCATCGCTTCTGCAGCTTTTTGAGGGCCAGGACTCGGCATTTCACCGAATTAGGCAGGCTCTCGATAAAGTCATTTTTCGGCTTTGGGGCATTCTCTGCAGGGGTCTGGGGCTCCTCAGCCATCTGACCAGCCGCGCTGTCAGGGTCACCAGCCGCGCTGTCACAGTCTCCACCCTGCGCACCGCCTTCCGCCATTACCTCCTCTGCCGCTGCCTCCGCCGCTGCCGCCGCCTGGCTAGGCTCCGCAGGCCCCTGGTTTTCCGAGTCGGCCATGTTAGAGGAGAAGCCGCAGAGGTCTAGGAGGGCTCCCGCAGAGGCCCTGCACCCGAGCTGGTCCAGAGAGATCTTGCGGATGCGGCAAGTGGCGGTGACGTGCGGCCGCGGGAATGACGTTGGCCGCGGCCCCGCCTCCTGCTTTCGCGGCACTTGACTGGCTTCCCACTATCAGCTGACGGCCGTGTGCTCATACTGCACCAGATTCCTCCTGTTGCTACCCTGACATCTTCTGGGCCCTCAACACCCGCCTGTTGGACAGACACCCTGTTCCCAGCCCACCCATGTACCCACCCCTGTAGAGCTGGGCTGGGAGTGTCAGTAGCTGCCCGAGGTGCTTCTTCAGGAACTGCATAGATGGCCTCAGACCATTTTCCGTGTGCTCCTCACCCCCATCCAGGCCCTTCTACAAATGCCAGTGCATATGTCTTCGCTTTCCTCTGCATCTCTCTCCATAGCTGGCGTTTGATCACCTCTTAGATTCCTCCGCATTCCTCTCCATGCAGTGGAGGAACGGGCAAGCTGGCTCCATTCCACCCCTTTGGGGACCTGGGGTGCATGTGTGTGGATAGGGCAGCTTGCATATCCAAGCTCTGTACCTATGTGTCCACCCAACACCCCCTTGGCCATCCCACACACCTAGCGGCATATATCTTGGTGGCAAGGTCGTCTCTCAGCAGGACTCCCCTGGAAGCAGTTTTGGAGCCATTTGGGTAGGAAATCTCAGAGCTCCCGGTGTCCTGGTGTGTGTTCTAGAAGATCCTACAGAATCTTTGGCCTGTGGGAAGGACTAAAGCTTGAGGAGGGCTGAAAAAAAGCAAGTCTTTCTAAAGCATGGGGCCCAGGGCCAAGGCCCCCTCTTATCTTGGTTAAAGCATGTGCCATCTATCCCACCCCGCTCACATTCGTCTTCCCTGCCTTCCCCCAACACCGTCTGCTTCCCTGCCTTCCCCACTATCTGTTTTCACACCTTTCCACACCACATCTTCTCCCTCCCTCCTGCCCCTCCCCCGCACTGACTTATGCCCCACCTTCTGCCCATCTTCTTCCCCGCCTTCTTCCCCACTCACTGCCTCCTTCCTCACCTTCCCCCCGCCGCACTGTCCTTTTCCCCACCTTCCTCACCCTCTTCTTCCCCACCCTCCTTACCCTCTTCTTCCCCACCTTCCTCACCCTCCTCACCCCCTTCTTCCTCACCCACTGCCTTCTTCCTCACCTTCCCCCCACCGAACTTTTTCCTCACGCTCCTCACCCTCTTCTTCCTCACCCTCTTCACCCTCTTCTTCCTCACGCTCCTCACCCTCTTCTTCCTCACCCTCTTCACCCTCTTCTTCCTCACGCTCCTCACCCTCTTCTTCCTCACCCTCTTCACCCTCTTCTTCCTCACGCTCCTCACCCTCTTCTTCCTCACCCTCTTCACCCTCTTCTTCCTCACGCTCCTCACCCTCTTCTTCCTCACCCTCTTCACCCTCTTCTTCCCCACCCCCTAGCCCCACCCTCTTCCCACCCACCCCCAGCCCCGCCTTCTTCTTCCCCACCCACCCACCCAGCCCCACCCTCTTCCTCCCCACCCACCCACGCAGCCCCACCCTCTTCTTCCCCACCCTGCCCACCATCTTCTTCCCCACGATCTGTCTTCTTCCCCACCTTCCCCCACGGTCTTCACCACCTTCCCCCAACCGTCTTCTTTACCCTGCTCACCATCTTCTTACTGGCTCACCATCTTCTCTGCCTTCTTTCTCACTCCCATATATCATCTCTTTTGATGGCTACAGCTGCCTTGAGATTAGGAATGATGTTTCTCATTTTACAGATAGTAAACTTAGAAGCAAATACAGTGAAATCATCTTACTGCATGTATCACTTAATTGGCAGATGCAGGGGCAGAAAACAGGCCTTTTGACCCCTATAGTATGGATGTTGTGACAGACTTTAAAAAAAAAATCCCACATTTTGGTTAAATTCATTTGACTAACTTAACTTGCTTAAAATATTTAGGGCATGTTCATCTTTCAAGATTTTTATTTTCCTGTCTCAACAGATCTTAAAACTTAGTGTTAAACCAGACTGTTTTTTAAAAAGTCTGGCTTATTGAGGTATCATTTACATAACAGTAAAATTTGTCCTTTTGGGCGTGCTTTCACAAGCAAATACAGTAATGTAAGCACTGTAGTAATCAAGATATAGAACAGTAAATAGTCCCCTAAAAGTCCGTTGTGGCCCTTCCCCAGCATCCAGCCCTGGTGAGCACTGTGCTGTTCTCTGTCTCAGTACCTCTGTTTTTTCCAGAATGTCAGGTAAATTGAATCATATGAATGTAGCCATTTGAGCCTGGCTTTTTTTTTTTACTAGCAGAGTACATTTGAGATTGATTTATGTTGTTGTATATATTAGTAAATTTATTTTTTATTATTTTTTATTTTACTTTTTATTATTGGGTAGTATTCCCATTTGTGGTGTTTGCAGTTTTTCATAATTGTGAATAATGCTGTGATCATTCATCTACAGGTTTCTCTATGAGCATGGACTTTTATTTCTCTTGGGTAGACACCTAGCAGTGGGATTGCTGGGTCATACAGTAAATGTACGCTTAACTTCATAAGAAGCTGCCACACTGTTTCCCAAAGTGGCTTTAATCTGTTTAGTGTTGCTAAAAAGGAAGACCGGAGGCTGCTAGCTAAAAGGTTCAAGATTGGGCATGTAGATGGTGAGAGTCTCAGGCTGCTTCCTGAGACTGTTGAGCTATTTCTACCAATAGTCCCTTAAGTGAAATCTAGGTTTTTCTATCAAGCTCCTCAAAACTCTTTCAGGCTCTACCTATTTCCTCATTTCAAAGGCACATCTGCGTTTTTAGGTATTTGCTGTTGTAGTACTGTACTTCTTAGTACCGAAATCTATATGTCAGTGTTCTCCAGAGAAACAGAACCAACAGGGTGTGAAGCCGAGGGGGGTGGGGGCAAGGAGGGATTTATTTTAAAGAATTGGTTCATGTGATTGTGGGGGCTGTCAAACCCGAAATCTGCAGGGTAGGCTGTAAGGCTAGAAATTCTGGCAATAGTTAATATTTAAATCTTGAGTCCAAAGACAGTCTGGAGGGAGAATTCTTTCCTCTTTGGAGGACCTCAAGTCTTTTTCTCTTAAGGCCTTCAGCTGATTGGATATGGCCTACCCACATTATGGAGGGTAACCTGCTTTACTCAAAGTCAATGAATTTAAATGTTCATCCCAACTAAAAAAATATCTTAACAACATCCAGACTGGTGTTTGACCAAACAACTGGATGCCATAGCCTAGCCAAGTTGACCTATAAAATTAACCATCACAGTCTGTAATAAAAATTGTTGTGATGGTGTTTCTCTTGGGTAATTGTATCAGAAAAATGTCATTAGTTTAGTGTCATGGGTTTCAGAGAAGTGAGGTGTTATATACGGTGTGAGAAACTTTCAGCATCAATGATTAACATGCACAATAATCTTTTTACATTAGTGGCTTTATTTTAAAGATTGCACAGTTATACCATTTTAAAAATGGGAAAAGGGAGGCTTACTAGTTAGATACAGAAGATGGCAGAGCCTGGATTTGAACCCCTGTCTGCCTCACTTATCCACTGTATTACACCATTTGTTGGCTAGTTATTGGTGTGGATGGTGAACATGTAAAAACTATCTGCTTGGAGGAAACCCAATAATTCAAATGTAGCTTTATGAAGTATTAAATTACAGTGATGGATAAGTAGTAAATAACTATCTTCATGATGTGAAGTTTTAAAATTGTTTTTAATCTAAAATACAAAAAGTTAATGTGACAAACATTTGTATATATGATCCACAGTCAACAGGTATTTGCTTCAGATTTTTTAATAAAAGAAAAAAATTACTGATACCGCTGTACATACCCTTAATTCCAAATTACTGATACTGTTGTACATACCCTTAATTCCATTCCCCTCTTCCCGCCCTTCTTTCTTACACAGACAAAACTCTTATGAATTTGATATGTTTTTTTTATGTTTTTATACTTTTTATAATAAACATGTATGTTAAAACAGATTTTTTTTTTTTTTTTTGAGATAGGGTCTTGCTTTGTCACCCGGGCTGAAGTACAGTGGCGTGATCATGGCTCACTGCAGCCTTGACCTCCTGGGCTCAGGTGATTCTCCCACCTCAGCCTTCTGAGCAGCTGGGACTACAGGCATGCACCACCAGGCCTGGCTAATTTTTTGTGGAGACTGGGTCTTGCCATGTTGCCCAGGCTGGTTTTGAATTCTGGGCTGAAGCCATCTGCCTGCCTCAGCCTCCCAAAGTGCTGGGATTATAGGCATGAGCCACTGCACCTGGCTAGACAAAGATCTTTTTACATTAATGTCTTTGTTTTTAAAAATGAACACTTACACATCTTATGTATGCATCATATTTATAATTTCATACTCATAAGCAAAATCTCATATCCATAAACAATATGATAATACTAGTTAATACTTACAAAGTAATTGTTATACACCAGCCTTGGTTTAAGCACTCTTACATGTATTCACTCATTTAATCCTAAAGCAGTCCCATGTGTTATCTACTCTTACTCTCCCCCATTTTACAAATGAGGACACAGGCATGGAGAAGTTAAATAACTTGCCCAAGGGTCACAAGCTCTGAGTGACAGAGCTACTACCTTTTATAAGTAGCATTGTTTTAAGTGTTAAAACACAACTTACATAAATGCCATCATATTTTACTGAACATGCAAATACTTGATTTTCACTCAGCATTGTTCTTGAGATTCTATTCATTTTGCTAAGTTTAGATCTAGTTAATTCCATCAAAGTGCTCTGCTTTATGGTTTCCATCATATGACTCTACCATCTTTTCCTTGTCCATGTTCATATTAATGGATGTTTAGTGTTGTTTCTCTAAATTCTCTATATTGCAAGAAAATGCTGCAGTAAACTTGCCTGCACTCATCTTCTTGTGCACACATGTTAGCGTCTCTGCATTACCTACCCGCTAGCACAGTGGCATGGTCAAGGGTATTTACATTTTCAACTTATCTAGATATTGACAGAATTTCCCCCCAAAATGTTTATGTCTAGGTTCACAGTTTATATTTCCACTTGTGAGAGACTGAATATTCCTATGGACAATGGCCAGGCCATATATAAATAAACATGGAGCTGAGACCCACAATCTGCAGCAACCTGCCCGGGAAACCAACCTCTTATCTGCAATAAGCAGCCCAGGAAGCCAGCCTGCTATAAGTCAGACTTGCAGGCAGCCTGATTGCCATCTGTCTCGATAACTTCTGTAACAGTGGGCCCAAATAGGCCAGGATGTGATTAATAATCAGCAGCTTCCCTAATTTTTGTTCCTACTTCCAACTTAGGGCCAACCAGAGAAAGCCAAATACACACCCTTAACCAGTCACATAGGATGCCCCACTTCTAGTTAGCCCACCTGCAGCTTCCCCAGACTAGCAGCCTCCAATCAGAGTGTACCTGAAGCCTTCCCTCTTTCCACTGTAAAGCTTTTCCACTCCTCTGCTTGATTTTGAGTCTCTGCCACAACACAAGTGACAGTGGCTGACTCTCTTGCTATAGCAGCTCTGAAAAAATAGCCTTTGCTCTTCTCATTTGGTTGATCTTTATATATTTCCATGGTTGCGATATGGTTCCCATCATTTCAGTTTATCTTCCTACCAACTGCCTATGAGGTTTCTGTTTTCCCCACACCTTCACCATATTGATATAATCTCATTTTTAAACTTAGGCCAGTCTGATGAGTGCAAATGACAATTCACTCGTCTTCATTTGCATTTGCCTGATTATTAGTGAGATGGAGCCTTTATTTGAGATGGTTCTTCCCAGAGGTAAAGGTTTTATAAACAAGGAGTTATAAAATGAACCTTTTAAAACAGGTGAGGATACAAGTATCAAGTGGTTTAGCTTTATTTGTTTCTGAGGAAAATGGCCTAGAACTGTTATCCTAGACTTTTTATTTTAAGCAGAAAAGGTCTTATTATTTTTTCCACACTAAATTTTAAGCAGGGCTTTTAACATGAAAACTGGAATACCTCAGGTAAAGCCAGTAGTTTAGTTCTATATACCTGGCCTGCTGCCCTTCCTATCTGGCTTATCCTGCCTTGGATCACCTGAGGCACTTGGTGGAATGTTAGGGCTGGGGATGGAGAGGGAGGAGAGGAGAGCTGGTAACCTATATGATGCCTTAGGATGCCTCCTGATTTGAGAATTTGATGAAATTCTATTTTTTATCACTCCCAATCTCAGTGTAGAAGGGTAACTTCATAAGCTTTACAAGACTTTGAGCTAAATGTATTTTCTTTTGTGTTCTGGCAGGCAGGAATTTGTGGATGCTTATGTGAATTATGTCTTCCAAATCTCAGTTCATGAATGGTACACAGCCTTCTCTAGTGGCTTCCTAAAGGTGTGTGGTGGCAAAGTACTTGAGCTCTTCCAGCCTTCAGAACTGAGGGCTATGATGGTGGGGAACAGCAACTACAACTGGGAAGAACTGGAAGAGGTAAGCACAAAAGATCCTTTAACTCCTTTAACTCCGGCGAAGCAGCAGCAGCCTGGGGAGGTGTTCCCAGAGCCTGGTCTCGTTCCAAGCATACTGTGGTTGAGTTAGATTTAGAGGTGTCCTGTATCTCAGCACTTATTTCTTAGCCTCAAATGCAAATGATATATAATGTCCACTATAATATTCTTCCAAGATACATTTTTTTCTTTTTCTCTTTTTTGGACAGACTGCCATCTACAAGGGAGATTACTCGGCCACACATCCCACTGTAAAACTATTTTGGGAAACATTTCATGAGTTTCCATTGGAAAAGAAGAAGAAGTTTCTCTGTAAGTATCAGTAATCTCAATATGGTATTTGTCTACATTTTAGTCTTACATACAGTATAGGATGACATGCTCCACAGCTGAGGCTTAACTCATTTAAATGGTAAAGACCAGGTAATTCACTATATGTATGCTTTTTGTCTTAATGTTATCTCAGGCACAATATAGGTTGTTAATCCAGATCTGTTGCCTAACAAGAGGGGTTGCATGAAAGGAAGAAAAGAAGCATCTCACTGATTTTTCTTTTCTTTCTTTCTTTTTTTTTTTTTTTGAGACAGAGTCTTACTCTGCTGCCCAGGCTGGAGTGCAGTGGCGTGATCTCAGCTCACTGCAACCTCCGCCTCCTGGATTCAAGTGATTCTCATGCCTCAGCCTCCCAAGTAGCTAGGACTACAGGCACCTGCCACCATGCCCGGCAGATTTTTATATTTTTAGTAGAGATGGGCTTTCACCATGTTGCCCAGACTGGTCCTCGTCTTGAACTCCTGACCTCAAGTGATCCGCCTGTTTTGGCCTCCCAAAATGCTGGGATTACAGGTGTGAGCCACCACGCCTGGCCTGATTTTTAAATTATTCTAAAAATACCAATTATTTTATATGTAAGTTATTCAAGTATTCCATTTATGAAGTCAAATTGTTTGGATTAACCTCTCTTATCTCTCTAGCCTTTAAAATATATTACAAAGTATCCAGATGGAACTGGGAAGGTGTGATTTATAGCAGCTTTATTGGGCTATAATTTATATACCATACTCATTTAAAGTGTATATTTCAGTATACACACAGTTGTGAAACTAACACACAGTCAATTGTAGAATACATTCATAACCTCAAAAAAGAAACCCCATACCTATTAGCAGTCATTCTCCATTTCTTCCCAGCTCCCCCACCAGTCTTTCTGTCTCTATGGATTTGCCTATTCTGGATATTTCATGCAAATTGAATCATATAATATGTAGACCTTTGTGGCTGGCTGAATGACATTTGAGAAGGGTAATAATACCTTTGGAAAGGAGAATGAATTCTAATTTACATGAACAAATTCAGCCTTTTAAAAATGGTTGAAATATTTCTCAGTTTGTGTCTGTGTGTAATCAGCGTCAGAAATTAGCTAGTGCATAGTATGGAATTTTAGTCATGTAAAATCAAAGCACAGGGTTTGATAGGCAGTCTATTTTGCTTTATAAGATGGAGCATATATTAGTATTAATGTAGGACTTAACAGGTTCTGCTGCTCACATGGGAGCAAGGATGAGAGGAAGTGGAGATCTTACACAAGAATTCTTAAAAAGAGGGACCACTTCTCCTCTGCCTGGCTGCATTGGCTATTGAGAAGCAGTAGTGGAAGAGCTGAATGACAGGTTAAGGTTTGCCAAGTGAGCTTGTAGGGCTGTGACATTCAAGAGATGCCTGCTCATGGTCCTGGAATTTCCCTAGAAAATGGCACTTTCTGTTCATTAGACTTACAGAAATGTTTGTTAACTCTGGAGATTTTTGGCAAGAAACTTTATGTATCACAGCCTCAGGGAATGGCAGGTTATTTGAAAGTGCTTCTTAACTAATGATTTTCTTATAGTAATTTCCAGCAATTCAACTATGAGAGTGTTGTTCAGCACTAGAAAACAAGGAGCTGTCTTTCTCTGTCTGTCTCCCTCTCTCTCTTTTGCCAAGTCACAGTGCATGTCACAAGAGTGCAATGTCTAACATAATGTTTGGGTCAGCTCTTCGGGTTTAAGAAAAATGGAGACGTGGAAAGGAGAGCAAATAGATCCTAAATGGAATTCCGTAGACAAGGTGGTACAGGCATCAGGCACTTGAGGTGAGAGGAGACCCTGAGGTCAGAGACTTCAGTCTTCTTCTGTTTTCCCCTTAAGATCAGCTCCTCTTTTCCTATGACAGCAATTCCTTCCCTCTTTGATTTTGTGAAATCTAACATTTGTGAGGGTGTACATTTGATTGAGGCCTTTTTTTTTTCTTAACGGCATCTAATTTTCATTCCACAGGATGCATATTGGCACATAAATGTAATTGTACTTCTCATGCAAGCCACAGGGTGTCATGCCTTCCTCTCCTGTTGCCAGAAGGATCTCTGAGATCCATTTTCCGTTTGCTTAGCTGCTAATGCCATTTCTCGTTCTCCCCAGTGTTCCTGACAGGCAGCGATCGGATTCCCATCTACGGCATGGCCAGTCTGCAGATTGTCATCCAGTCCACAGCCAGCGGGGAGGAGTACTTGCCGGTGGCCCACACTTGCTACAACCTTCTTGACCTCCCCAAGTACAGCAGCAAAGAGATTCTGAGTGCCCGGCTGACCCAGGCCCTTGACAACTATGAAGGGTTTAGTTTGGCCTGAGGCTTCTCAGCTTGTCCAGTATTTCCCTTCGTTCCTCAGTGTCCACATTGAGGCCTATACAGAAAATCATGGGGAGTGATTTCTATTTTTTTATTGTCTAAGTGGGTTGGGACTTTTAAATACTGAGCCTGGTTGATGTGTTTCTGGGATTGTATAGCAGTAAACAACCTTTTTGAAAAATTAGAGGTTGGGGATGGGGTGAAAAATTGGCCCTTGTATGGGAGGTGTTTTTGTTTTTGTTTTAAACCAAACTACCCAGTATTCCTTGCACTTGTGAATGTGTTGCACTCTGCTGGATGAAATGGCAGTGGATTTTTAAACTTTAATTTCCCAAATGTCTCTCTCAGCCCTGATGTTTTCTCACAGTGCTTCCTTGTCCTTCTCTTAACTTCTCATTCCTCTATAAGAATGATTTAGACTGACCTGTCCTTTTTTATCTGCGCATGCGAGAACATCACCTTCCTCTGTACACTTGGAAATGCCTCTGGCTTGTTGCAGCCCTCCTTTAACCCAAAGGAGGAAAGGACTGCTTCAGAAACTCCCAATTCCAAAAAGCTGAGTCTGGGTCCATTATTTTGGCAGAACTCCTAAGAATTTATGGGAGCCTATATAAACATATCTTGCTTTTAAAAAGTTCTTGAGGGAATAGCAACTTTCCCATGGCTGTGCCTATTTCCTAGACCTTTTAAAAGATGTGCAGAGCAGCTTAGCATTCGTTGCAGCTGAGCCTAATTTTTTCTTGCTCATCCTTGTCCCTTTGACAATAAGGTTAATTGATAGACCCACCACCTCTTGCACTCTCGCTTTTGGAGCAAGTTGCATTAACTATTTTGAGTCTCTATATTGTCCAAGAAAAGTAGAAATAATAAATTTACTTTCCCTTTTTCTATCACCTTATGTCCTCTACCATTTTCTCCTTCCTCCCTTCCCTTATTTTCTCCTTTTCGTACCCTGTGTCCTCCCTGATTTTCCTTTCGTTTCTTCTTTATTTTATCCCATTCTCTGTTACTTGACTCAGTGCTCCCTTCCTCTCCTCTCCTTCTAGTGGATGCATGCAGCCTTTTTTTCAATTTTTATTTAAATTGCAAAATTTTTACTCAGATTTTTTTTCCTCTTCCCTAATTGCTAAGATTTAAGGACGTTCTTTATTATGAAACTTTATCACATTCGAAATGTTTGTTTACAGTGGGATTTTAGGGGGGATTGTGTTTAAATCAAATATATGTATTTTAAAAATAATGACATGCTCAACCTTCCTCATCATGGAGTAAGAAAATTCTACATGATTAAAGAATCCATGTAAGTCTAATTTTAAATTCCTAGTAACTAGAGAAAAGACTTATTTATATAAAATGAAGTATTTATGAACTGTGATAAAGCATCAAATCTTGATGAAGGATTGTAGATTTTTGCTTTTTCTTTTTGTTTTTAAAACTTATTCCAATTGCTAAATTGGTAGTTTTTCAGTCTTTATAAATACAGGATTAAAAATATATATACAGTTATATGAAATGTTTATTTTCTATGTGTGTGCATATAGTTCAATATTATGCAATAAATTTGGTGTTTTAACTTAAAACTATTTCTTATTGTACTTGCAGAATGGATAGCTTGCTTTTAGTAGAAGCATTAGGTCGTATACTCAGATAATCTAATAGAAGGTCAGATTTGATTCCTGCATAAGAAAGTAGAGCCAAGTGCTGCAGAAATGGAGAAGAAAGCAGGGGCAAGGAGCAGATGGCATTAAGGAAGAATGAAGTTTTTGAAGGTTGGGATGGACGAAAAGGTGTTTCTCATGGAGAGGGATGCTTTAGCAAAGGCTCAAACATTGGGGCATATTTAGGCAAGAGCCAAGAACAGTTTGAAGGGAACATCAGAGGAAATAGGCAAATAATAGTAAATAATGGTAAGTAAGACTTGGGAGAAAGAAGGTAGATTTGGGGCTGAGGAACTAGCCTAACACTGGAACTTTAGTAGTAGCCAAGTAGGATTTGTTTCAATGTTCAGAACTTGAGGGTGATAAGACCTGAGCCGGGTCTTAAGAAGGAAAATGTGGATGGTCTAAATCTGGAGGTATTGAGGTGGGAAGGACTGAAGCAGAAAGACAGGAGCTGAGACAGCAGTGACAGTGGCAGCAGCAGAACTAGAGAAGAGTATCTGAGGAGAGGTAGGGGGAGTGAGTGGAGGTGGTAGGAGCCTGCAGGGAGAAGGAGGCACTAAAGGTGGATCAGAGACTGGTTCATTTAGTGATTGGTGATTGTTAGGCCATTTAAGCACACCAAAAGTTTGTGAGACACAGCAAAAAAAAAAAAAAAAGAAAGGATTTTAAGTAAATTGGTAAAGCAAGTAAAATGTATTGTTTTGCCAGATTAAAAAGGTGGTTTAAAGGTGGTAAAGAGAATAGGAGCTTTCCATTAATAAGCTCCATTCAACAAACATTTAATAATCTACATAAGTGCTACATTTGAGGAGTTAAAAACAAACCCCACTACATTTAATTTTGCACAGAAATTGCCAAATTATTTTAACTAACTTTGAGGCCTCAGAATTCTCATCCATGAAATGAGATTGGATCAGATGATTTCTAAGGTTACTTTGAGCTCTAAAATTTTATAATTCCATTACTGAGAGAGTGCCTGAACATAGAGATACCCAATACATATTTCTAAAGATTTGTTGCATGAATGATATCTTATGCTGCTTCTAAAACACTATGATTTTTCTAAGATAGTTTCCTTTTCCCCTTCATTACCAATGCTTTAGAAGACTTAAATCTTCTGCATAGGCATTTCTGGATTTGCCTACCCACCTACCAACCTTCCCTCCCCTGAAAACTTTCAGATGCTTCTTCATTGTTTTAGTCATTTACCACTTTAATGAAATTATCTGGCAACTTTATTGTGGTGGGTGGGGATCAATGACGGTGTAATGAGGCAATTAGCAAATTCTGATAGTTCCATCTACTCCATGTGAAAGTCTCTTGATGTTTTATATGGTACTCTTATTAATAATCCCAGAGAGCAGGGGTTGGCAAACTATGGCCCATGGGCTAAAATGGTTTTTACATTTTAAAAGGGTTGAAAACTTTAAAACTGGAAGGATACATGACAGAGACTGGATGGCCTACAATGCCTAACATATTATCTAGCCCTTTACAGAAAACAACTGACCAATCCTTATGAGACCAGACTTGCAAAAATTACAGTAACAGAGTGAAAAACCTTCTTGAAGTGTTAGGAGGAACTTGAGTCATAATTTGATGTTGAATCAGAGAGAACAACTGTTTGGGCTTATTTGCCTCAGAGGTAAGAAAATCAAGTTTTAACTAAGATTAACCCACAGAAGTAGATATTAATACTAAGGTTTCGACCTAATAATAACTAACCTGTATTAATTGTGTGCAGTGTACCAGACCCATATGAGATCCTGCACCAACATTTGCTATGCACTAACTAGTTTAATTGCCATTACCAGGGTCCTCCTGGCTCTGCTATTTACTAGCTGTTTGACCTTGGGCAGGTTTCTTAACCTATGTCTCATTTTCTTCCTCTTCAAAATGAGAACAGAAATAGTGCCTACCTCATGGAGTTGTTGTGAGGATTAAATGAATTAATGGAAAGCATATAGAATAGCGCTTAGCACATAATAAGCTCTCAGTACTTAGAATTACCATTATCCCAGTTTTTCACATGAAGGAATTAATTAGAGAAAATAGTTGCTCATTATCACAAAATAGTGGGACCTGGACTTGACCATTAATCTGTGTTATGCCCAGCTGCTAGAGATGGGCAACAAATTGGATTAAGGCTGCTCAGTAGCCAAATAAAAAGGAATGTTGTAATGTGGCAGGTAACTTCTTTGACCACATATCTGCAAAGACATCGCACCGAGTTCCACGTATCTGCAAAGACATCGCACTGAGTTCCACGTATCTGCAAAGACATCACACTGAATTTTGTTTTGCTGCCAGTGTGCAATTCAGTAGTGATCAGTGCAGTTCTCATGTCATTTGCAGTGGGTCTCAAGTGAAGCTGGAGGTCTCTGTTGGTAGTTAGTAGCCAGGAACCAGGTATGCTTAATGCCTTGCATTGCATAGAACAATTCCTCTTTATCCTGCCCAAGATGCCAGTGGGCACTGCTATGGTCTGAATGTTTGTTTCCCTCTTAAAATTTATGTGTTGAAACCTAGCCCCCAAGATGATGGTATTAGGAGGTGAGGTCTTTGGGAGGTGATTATATCATAAGGGCAGAACCCTCATGAGTGGTATTAGTTCCCTTATAAAAGAGAACCCAGAGAGGTGCCTTGCCTTCCCTACCATGTGAGGACACAGCAAGAAGGCACAATCTGTGAGAAAGTAGGCCCTCGCCAGACACCACCAGTGCTTTGATCTTGGATTTCCCAGCCTCCAGAACTGTGAAAAATGATTTTCTGTTGTAAATTACCTAGTGTTTGGCATTTTGTTATAGTGGCTTGACTGGACTAAGACAGGCCCCTTTGTAAAACACTGAGAGAGGGATGGACTTCATACCCTTTAGGGGATCCTTCTCTGTAGAATTCTTTTTTTCAGAAGATTTTTTTTTTTCTTTTATTAATAAGCTTTTTATTTTTGAATACTTTTTTATTGGTACATAGTTGTACGTATTATGGGGTACTTGTGGTATTTTGATACAAGCATACAATGAATGCATAATGATTAAATCTGGGTAATTAAGATATCAAAACATCTATCATTTCTTTTTGTTGGTTACATTCCAAATCTTCTAGCTATTTTTAAACATACAATAAATTATTAACTATAGCCACCCTATTGTGCTATCAAACAATAGAGCTTATTCCATTTAACTGTTATTTTTGTACCCATTAACCAACCTCTTTTTATCCCTCTCCTCCTAGTATTTGCCCAGCCTCTGGTAACTATCATTCTATTCTCTACCTCCATGAGAGCAACTTTCTTAGCTCCCACATGTGAATGAGAACATGCAATATTTGTCTTTCTGTGCCTGGCTTATTTCAGTTAACATCGTGACCTCCAGTTCCATCCATGTTGCTGCAAATGGTAAGATTTCATTCTTTTTTCATGACTGAATAATATTCCCTCATGTTTATAGACCACATTTTCTTTATCCATTCATCTGTTGATGGATACTTAGGTTGAGTCTATATCGTGGTTATTGTGAACAGTGCTGCAACAAACTTGGGAATGCAGATGTCTCTTTGACATACTGATTTCCTTTCAAATTTTGGGCATATACGTAGTAGTGGGATTGCTGGATCATATAGTAGATCTATTTTTAGTTTTTTGAGGAATCTCCATACTGTTTTCTATACTGGCACTAATTTACATTCCCACCAAAGGGTGTGAGCATTCCCCTTTCTCTGCATTCCTGCCAGTGTCTGTTATTTTTTGTCTTTTAGATAACAGCCATTTTAACAAGGATGAGATGGTATCTCACTGTGGTTTTGATTTTCATTTCCCTCATTATTAGTGATATTGAGTATTTTTTCTAATACCTGTTGTCTATTTATATGTCTTCTTTTGAGAAATGTCTATTTAGATCATTTGCCCATTTCTAAATCACATTTTTTTTTTTTACTCTTGAATTGTTTGAGTTCTTTATACATTCTGGTTAATCTTTTATTGGATAGACAGTTTGCAAATATCTCCTCCCATTCTGTAGGTTGTATCTTTACTCTGTTGATTGTTCCCACTCCTGTGCAGAAGCTTTTTAGCTTTATGTAATCATATTTATCTATTCTTGCTGTTGCTGCCTGTGCTTTTGAGGTCTTACCCAAAAATCTTTGCTCAGACCAGTGTCCTGAAGCATTTCCCCAATGTTTTTCTTCTAGCAGTTTTATATAATAGTTTCAGGTCTTAATTTCATCAATTTCGATTTGTTTTTTATACATAGTGAGAGGTATGGAATCTAGTTTCATTCTTCTGCATATGGATATCCAGTTTTCTCAGCACCAGTTATTGAAGAGGCTGTCCGTTTTCTAATGTATGTTCTTGGCACCATTGTCAAAAATGACTTGGTTGTAAACATGTGAATTTATTTCTGGGTTCTCTATTCTGTTCTATCGGTCTATGTATGTGCCTGTTTTCATGCCAGTACCATGTTGTTCTGGTTCGTATGGCTTTGTAGTTTTTTTTTTTTTTTTTTTTTGAGACGGAGTCTCGCTCTGTCACCCAGGCTGGAGTGCAGTGGCATGATCTTGGCTCACTGCAAGCTCCACCTCCTGGGTTCATGCCATTCTTCTGCCTCAGCCTCCCAAATAGCTGGGACTACAGGCGCCTGCCACCATACCCAGCTAATTTTTGTATTTTTAGTAGAGACAGGGTTTCACCGTGTTGGCCAAGATGGTCTCGATCTCCTGACCACATGATCCGCCCGCCTCGGCCTCCCAAAATGCTGGGATTACAGGCATGAGCCACCGCGCCCTGCCTGTAGTATATTTTTAAGTCAGGTAATGTGATGCCTTCAGCTTTTTTTTCTCAGGGTTGCTTTGGCTATTAGGAGTCTTTTGTGATACATACGAATTTTAGAATAGTTTTTTTTTTATTTCTGTGAAGAATTTTATTGGTATTTTAATAGGGCTTGCATTGAATCTGTAGATTGCCATGGGTACTATAGATATTTAACAGTATTAGCTCTTTCAATCCATCAGCATGGGAAATCTTTCCATTTATTTTTGTCTTCTTCCATTTCTTTCATCAGTGTTTTATGTTTTCATTATAGAGATCCTTCACTTTGGTTAAATTTATTCCTGGGTATTTAATTTTTTGTAGCTATTGTAAATAGGATTGTTTTCTTGATTTCTTTTTCAAATTGTTAGCTATTGGTGTATAGAAATGCTACTGATTTTTGTATGTTGATTTTGTATCCTGTAACTGTACTGAATTTTTCAGTTCTAATAGTTTTTGGTGGAGTCTTTAGATTTTTCTAAATATGAGATCATGTTGCCTGTGAACAAGGATACATGTTCTTGCCTGTGAGAGGAAGAACAAGGCTTCTTCCTCTCCAATTTGGATGCCGCTTCTTTCTTGCCTAATTGCCCTGGCTAGGACTTCTAGTACTGTGTTGAATAAAAGTGGTGAAAGTGGGCATCTTTATCTTCTTCCAGATCTTTGAGGAAATGTTTTCAGTTTTCCTCTTATTATGGAGACAGAGTCTTGCTCTGTCACCCAGGCTAGAGTCTGGTGGTATGATCTTGTCTCACTGCAACCTCTACCTCCTGGGCTCAAGCAATCCTCCCATCTCAGCCTTCTGAGTAGCTGGGACTACAGTTGTGAGCCACCCCAACACCCAGCTAATTTTTGTATTTTTTGTAGAGACAGGATTTTGCCACATATATGGGATTTATTGTTTTAAAGTATGTTCCTTGTATACCTAGTTTTTTGAGAGTTTTTATTATGAAGGGATGTTGAATTTTAGTGAATACTTTATTCAGCACCTGTTGAAATGATTTTATGGTTTTTCTTGATTCTGTTAATGTGATGTATTGCGTTTATAGATTTGTTTATGTTATCCTTGTATCCTTGGGATGAATCTTACTTGATCATGTGAGATCTTTCTAATGTGTTGTTGAATTTAGTTTGCTTGTATTTTCTTGAGGATTTTTTGCATCTATGTTCATCAGAGACATCAGATCATTTTTTTGTTATATCCTTGTCTGGTTTGGATATCAGGGTAATGCTGGCCTCATAGAAGTATTCCCTTCTCTTTAATTCTCTAGAATAGTTTGGATAGAAATGGTATTAGCTCTTCTTTAAATGTTTGGTAGAATTCAACAGTGAATCTGTCAGGTTCTGGGTTTTTTTGTGTTGTTTTGATTTGTTTTTTTTGATGGGAAGATTTATTACTGGTTCAATCTTGTTACTCATTGTTGGTCTTACAGGTTTCGTATTTCTGCATAGTTCAATCCTAGTAGGTTATATGTATTTAGGAATTTATCTTTTTTTCCTAGGTTTTCTAATTTGTTGTCATATAGTTCATAATGGTCCTAATGATTCTTTGTATTTTTGTGGTATAAGTTGTAATGTCTTCTTTTTTTTTCTCTGATTTTATTTATTTGGGCCTTCTCGCTTTTTTTCTTAAATAGTCTACATAATGGTGTGTTGATTTTGCTTATTTTTTTAAAAAAACAACTTTTGTTCTTCTGTATTTTTTTTAGTCTCAATTTATTTCTGCTCTGATCTTTATTATTTCTTTCCTTCTACTAATTTTGGGTTTGGTTTGTTCTTGCTTTTCTGTTTCCTTGAGGTGCATGGTTAGACTGTTTATTTGAAATACTTCTATTTTTTGATGGAGGTGTTTATTCCTATAAACTTCCCCATTAGAACTGTTTTTGCTGTATCACATAGGTTTTGGTATGTTGTGCTTACATTTTCATTTGTCACAAGGAATTTTTAGATTTCCTTTTAAATTTCTTCATAGACCCATTGATTGTTCAGAAGCATGTTAATTTTCATGAATTTGTACAGTTTCCAACATTATTTCTGTTATTGATTTCTAGTTTTATTCCATTGTGGTCAGAAAAGATACTTGATATGATTTCAACTTTTAAAACTTTGTTGGCCGGGCGTGGTGGCTCATGCCTGTAATCCCAACACTTTGGGAGGCCGAGGTGGGCGGATCACAGTCAGGAGATCGAGACCATCCTGGCTAACACGGTGAAACCCCGTCTCTAGTAAAAATGCAAAAAATTAGCCAGGTGTGGTGGCAGGCGTCTGTAGTCCCAGCTACTCGGGAGGCTGAGGCAGGAGAATGGAGTGAACCCGGGAGGTGGAGCTTGCAGTGAGCCGAGATCGTGCCACCGCACTCTAGCCTGGTCAACAGAGCGAGACTCCATCTCAAAAAAAAAAAAATAATAAATAAAAATAAAAATTTGTTAAGAATTGGGTCTGTCTTGGAGAATGTTCCATTTGCTTTTGAGAAAAATATGTATTCTGCAGCTGTTCGATGGAGTGTTCCGTAAGTGTCTATTAGGTCTGTTTGATCTGAAATGCGATTTAACTCCAATGTTCCTTGTTAATTTTCTGTCAGAATTACCTGCCCATTGCTGAAAGTGAGTTATTGAAGTCCTCTATTATTGTATTGCATTCAGTTTCTCCCTTTAGGTTTATTAATATTGGTATTATATATTTGGGTGCACTGGTGTTGGATACATATTACAATTGTTACATCCTCTTGCTGAATTGACCCCTTTATCATTATAAAGGGATCCTTTTTGTCTTTTTTTTTTAATCATTCTTAATCTGATATAATTGTAGCTACTCCTGCTCTTTTTTGGTTTTCATTTGCATGGAATATCTTTTTCCATATCTTCACTTTCAGTCTGGGTGTCTTTATAGGTGAAGTGAGTTTCTTATAGACAGCATAGACTTTGGTCTTGTATTTTTTAAAAAAAATCCATTCAGCCTCTGGATGTCTTTTAGTTTAAGAATTTAATCCCTTTACAGTCAAGACTATTATTGATAGTTAAGGGTTTACTACTGCCATTTTGTTACTTGTTTCTAGGTTGTTTTGTAGATCCTTTCTTCTGTTTTTCCTTTCCTCCTATATTTCTTTGTGATTAAGTGATTTCCTCTAGTAACGTGTTTTGATTCTATGCTCTTTATTTTTAGCACATCTATTATAGGTTTTTGCTTTGTGGTTACCAAGAGGCTTACAAAAACATCTAAGAATTGTAACAGGTTATTTTAAACTGATAATGATTTAACTTTTATTACAAGGAAAACTATGAAAAATAAACTCTAGTCTAATCCACCCCCCACATTTTGACTTTTTGTTAAAAAATTTACATGTTTTTATATTGCCTATCCTTAACCAATTTGTACAGTTATTATTGTTTTTAATAGTTTTGTCTTTTAGTTTTCAGACTTGTGATATAAGCGGTTTACTTTCCACATTTACAGTATTATTCTGATTTTGTCTATTACTTTTACCAGTGAGTTTTATACCTTCAGATGTCTTGTTTATTACTTTTTTTTTTTTAATAGAGATGGGATTTTGCCATGTTGGCCATGCTGGTCTTAAACTCTTGGCCTCAAGTGATCCGCCCACCTCAGCCTCCCAAAGTGCTGGGATTACAGGTATGAGCCACCATATCCAGCTAGATGTTTTCCTATTACATGTTAGCACCCATTATATTCAGATTGCAGAACTCTGTTTAGCATTTCTTATAAAATGGGTATGGTGTTGATTAATTCCCTCAGCTTTTGTATGTATGTTTGTGTTTCTTATCCTTTGTGTTTTAAGGATAGCTTTGCTGGGTAGGGTATTCTTGGTTGACATTTTCTTCAGCACTTTGAATATAACATCATGCCCTTTCCTGGCCTGTAGGGTTTCCACTGAGAAGTCTGCTGAAAGCTGTATTGGATGTGGTATGTTTCTTTTATCTTGCTGATTGGAGTTTTTTTCTCTTTGTCTTTGATTTTGGCTAATTTGATTATGATGTGCCTTGGGGAGAATTCCTCTTTCATTTGAATTTGATTGGTGACTTCTCAGCTTCTGTACCTGGATGCTGTTCGTCTTTCTCTAAATTTGGGAAATTTTCAGCCATTCATTCTTTAAATATACTTTCTAGGCCTTTTTTTTCCTTGTCTGCTGTGGGAATTCCAATTACATGGAGGTTAGTACACTTGATGGTGTAACATAATTTTTTGTAGGCCTTCTTCACTGTTTTCATTCTCTTTTCTGTTTACTCCTCTGACTGGGTAATTTCATATGTTCTGGCTTAAAGCTTGCTAATTATTTCCTCTGTTTAATCAAGTCTGCCGTTAAAGCTTTCTCAGGAGTTTTTCAGTTCAGTTATTGTATTCTTAGTTTTAGGATTTCTCTTTGATTTCTTTTAATTTTTTCTATTTCTTTGTCATTGTCTCTTTTTGTTTCTGGATTGTTTTTCAAATTTCACTTCCCATTCTGGGGAGGACTTATATTGAGCACCAGAACTAAACGACTGTACTGGAATGAACTTGTTGCCCTGTTGTCATTTCCAGTCTCGCAAAGGCACAGTGAATATCAAAAATTAAATGATGTTCTGGAACTAAATTGCTGCCTTGCCATTGTTTCCTTGTCTGGAGAAGACTTATAGCAAATACCAGAGTTTAAATGCTGCCCTGAAACAACACTGCTGCCCTGCCGTTGTTTTCCAGTCTGGGGAAGACTTAAATGGGCACTGGAACTTAATCTCGACCTTTTAGTTGTTTCTGAGCTAGAGGAAGGCTCCACTCACGCACCTGGGATTTGTGGAAAACCCAGCTGGGGATTTGGGCCTTCCTCTGGATTGTGCCCCTGAGGCACTATGGTCCTGGCCAGTTTGTTTAACTTGGCATCCCCACTGATCAGAGTGCTGAGATCAGCTTTCTGTGATGAACACCCAGGTCATTGTTTCCACCTCACCCCAAGTAGTTAAGCTTTCCTGACACTCCCAATGGTTCTGATCAAATAGGACCAGAATGGACTTCGCATGAAGATTCCTAGACCAGTGGGGAGATCGAATATTCACCTCCAATTCCCTCCTTCACTAGCAACCATGGGTCTAGGGAAAATCTCTGTGAGTGGTACTATGCCAGCTTAGGGGAAGGGGTGGCACAGTGTTAAATGACTGTTCATCCTACCTGTCATGGCTTCTCTCAATTCTGTGTGCCTTGGTGGTTTCTCTGCTTCCCCTCTGAGTTCTGGTATATTCATGGTGGTATTCTTGTCATTGAATGGTTTCTAATTGTATTTTTGTCAGGGACGTGATGCTGGGGGATTGTCTGTTCCACCATCTTGCTAATATCACTCTGAAACTCTATTTTTGAATAATTTTAGATCTATAGAAAAGTAGCAGAAATAATACAGAGTTATTTGATTTTTCACTCAGTATCCCCAAATGTTAACATAGCACCGTGGTATAGTTATCAAACCAAGGAACCAATATTGGGAAATTACTATTCATGAAACTTCACTCTTTTTTTTTGATTTTACCAGTTTTTCCACTGATGTCTGTCCCAAGGTCTAATTGAGGATCCCACAGTGCATGTATTTCAACAGGCTTTTAGTAAATATTGGGATTCCAGGCTTTGTCTCTGGCTAGATATGAGAGTACAAATCCTCTGTGCCCCTCCACCTCCCCAGACAGTCATGCTGTACAATCTTGGGACATAGGGTAAAGTGAAGGGCCTCTTCGGGCAGGCAGGTAAGTCATCAGGCCACTCCATGGGCCCTGGGAGACCATCAGCACACAGTTGGGCCCTTCCTCAGCAAGCAGCTCTGTGTTCTCAGCAGTATGAGTAAGCATTGAGGCCTCAATAGTTGGCAAAAAGCAGATCTTCCTGTGGGAAAAATACTTTGAATAAGGAAGAAAAAGGAGATTTGTATTATATAAGTTTGGCTGTCTCTAATTTAAAGAAAGTTAAACTTTATTGCACAACGACTACTAGTTCTTTCTTCTTCTTCTTCCTTCTCCTCCTCTTCCTTCTCCTTTTTCTGTCTCCTCCTACTTCTCCTTGTCCTTTTTCTCCTCCTCCTCCTCCTTCCCTTCTCCTCCTCCTCCTCTTTCTCCTTCCCTTCTCCTCCTTCTCCTCCTTCCTCTATCTTTTTCTCCTCCTCCTTCTTCTCTTTCCTTTCTCCTTCTTCTCCTCCTCCTTCTCCCCCCCTTCTCTTTCTCCTCCTCCTTCTCCTTCTTTCTTCTCCTTCTTTTCTTCTCCTCCTCCTCCTTTTCTCCTCTCCTCCTCCTTTTTTCTTCTCCTTCTTCTCCTCCTCCTTCTCTTCCTTCTCATTCTTCCCCTTCTTCTTTTCCTTCGTTTCCTCCCCCCCTCCACCTCCTCTCAAATTTAGTTTTCCACGGAATCCCCCATCCTTTGGAAATTTTTTTTTTGCTTAGTATCTGTTCATTTCTTCCAGAATCATAGTTTGGAATTAATGGACACATAGTAGTTAATCAGATGATAGAGATTAAAGTGAAGGGAGGCATACACTGGAATAGCAAAATATGTTTGCAGTGAAACCCAATGAATAGAATACTTCATGTTAGGGTGAAGTATTGGAGGAAAAACAAATACTTTCATTAAAATCAAAGCTACTCTTCAGAATTTCATTATTTTCTTTTAATGAGAAATGTATGTGTTGGTCGTCTTGTCGTCTTTGACTCTTAAAATGTAACCAAGCAAATTTTAAACTACATCTCTAAAGTGCCTAAGTGTGATGCCTACGTTACCTTTAACTTAACTTCGTTAGTGGCAGAGGTTCCATGAGTTATGAGTACTCTGCTCTGTGAATGTCTCCATTTTTGAGGTGCCTTTGTGGAGTATTGATAGGGACCATTCCTGGGCTCCACTTACAGACTTCTGTTGGGGAATAGGATCTCACAAAGCAGAACAGGAGTTTGTGATAAGGAAGAGGACAAAGAGAGCAGGTCCTTGTGTTCTTCAAAAACGGTGAACATTATCCTACTGATTTTGGACCAAGGGAGTTCTCCAGTGGGAAGTGACACAGAACCTACCACAGTGCCTTCCAATCCAGGTTTTTGGTAATGAGTGATGAATGAATCCCATGAGAGCAGAGCCCCGTGGAGCGGGTGGCAAATGTTGCTCTCTGACTACAGTTCTCTCCTTAGGGATGCTAACACAGACTGCCTCAGATGCAGGCAGGGCTGCTTGTCCACACTGATCAGGCATGGATTTGCATTAACATCTGTAGTGCCCTTTACTTGTGCAGTGAGATACTGGGATATACAACAGAATAGGTGCTGGAAGAGGCATCCACTACAGTGTGGGCAGACTCTTTGGATCTGTATTAATAACAGCCTCTCCCGTGGATTAGCTAGTCCAGGCTTTGGTGCTTTATTTCCTCCCAAAATAATGGAGTGTGTACTCCTTAGTTATGTGTAGCACCAAGAAAATTAATCCAGATGTCATCTTTTTTGTTTCCCCCTCCAGCGTGGCTGGATACTTGGCAGGGCACAGAATCACATGGTCTTCAGATCTTCTAAAAGCTGATTTTCCTGGGCCTAATCCCATGAGAGTTGGAGACAGTCTATGATAATTACTGATTCAGCTCCTGCTGGTGTTGAACTTACTGAGAAACTTAAACAAGAATTAAAATACACACCCACACACCCTCAGATGGAGCCAAACACTAAACCAGATTAGTCTTTCGTGGTCACCTTTTCTTCAGGATTAGGAGGATCAGAAAGCAAGAGCAGATTCTGAAACACTGTAACCCCATTCCCTACTGGGTCATAAGAGGCTGGTGCTCTTGAGGACGAAGGTCGGCAGCAGGTGCCAACTAGGTACTGGCTTCTGGTCCCAGCAGAGCTGGCCTGCCACAGCCCAAGCGTCTTGTTTTGGTTAAAAAATGAGTCTCTTGGCCTTTCATGCCTGGGCGTTCTCCGGAACTCAGATGTTTGTGAACCAGGTTCAGGGACTCTCAAGTTCAAGTCACTGGCAGATTGGAGAAAAGACCTAGAAGTTCTAAGTGTCTGAGGTAATGAGAGGAGGGACGCAAAGCCTCATTCAATGAGACTGCAAAGTCACCTGAATGGGAAAGCTTGCCCTATTGCTGGCCTCGGCAATGGCACCTTCAGGTTGTCCCCTGTACGGGTTGATGAGGGAGTGGAGGACCCCAGGTCCCTTCTTAATGTCAGCCTTGGCCACAGGTTTCGATGAAATTTAGTATGTTGATTAGGAGCTGCCAAAATCAGAGCAACTCCCCTCCCAAGGGGACGTTTAGTTTTCAGTTGTTAAAAATACACCCTGAGACAGAAATTTTGGGACACTTAAGTGACTTTGAAATCCATCCAAAGGTTACTCTGTTCCTTCACTCCACACAGCTCAGGCATTTCCATGTTGGTCTCAGCTGCCATCTCAATGGTTTATTCTTTTTACATGTTGGAGCAGATCTGGACCTCCCAAAATGTTTTGAGGAGAAGTGGGCTTAGAGGGGTTTTCCCTGCTCTGTGAGAGAAGGAATTTAGCAAGGATTAATTTTTCTAAGAAGGTGGCACAAGTTTTGATGTGATTTGCTGGAAAATAGTAATAGTCACAATTTATCTTATTCCCCCAAGAGAATGGGATGATGTTCCCATGGAACCTTGCTCATCCTGCTAGCAATAACTTGTATTCTCTTTCTGATTCACACAAACAAGGATCAGAGGGTGATGGTGGGGGAAATGATACCAGGAAATACAGTTCGTTTTTTGCAGGGATTCAGAATGTGTTGCTGGACTTCAAGATAGGAAGAATCTTTGCCTTGATGGCTGATGACAGTAACCACCCCATCTACCATCATCTATTAAGGATTTACTGTGTGGTCACTTTACAGTCATCCAAGTAAATTTTCATAATCACCTGATTACATGGGTACCGCTTTTCAGAAAAAGAAACAGATTTCTGGAGGGTAAGTAACCCAAATCGTACAGCTGAGCCATCTGTCTGCATCTCAAGCATTGAGGCAGCATTCGGCCTCCGAGGGTGTTGTCAAATGTGCTGGTCTCTGTTAACTCAGGGTTTTGGATTAATGGGTGGAGCTGCTCATTTTCACAAACACCCAGGATGCAGTCTGCACCCTCTATTTAAAGTGAGGTCCCTGGACGAGCAACACGGCAGCACCTGGCTGCTTGTCAGCAATGCAGAACATCAGGCACTCCCTGGAGCTACAGCACAAGATCCCCAGGCAGGCGCATGTGCATCCAAGTTTGAGCCGCACTGCTTTCTGCCACTACGGAGGAATGTATCCTTTACTCTCTTCCTCCCCTTCGTCTCATCTTGTTTGGTAATTTTAAATTATTTAAAAGTTATAGAAAATCATAGTGCCTCAAAATGGCTTACCAAGAAATACTCAAAGCTGTAGGATCAGAAGCTTGACATGAAGATTTCTGTGCATCTTTGAATTGCTTTACAGAAATTAAAGAAAAATCCAGACATCTAAAAGATTATAATTTCAGAATTCATAGTAACATGGGGATCTTCTTGGTGTCAGAACTGAGTTCTTGCTGAGGTTTGCATTGGGCCCTGTCTCCGGGCAGCTGCAGCATAACACGGAGTCACCCTTGCTGTCTAAGCCTTGTGGCTGGAGGGGAAGAGTGAGGACCAAGCTGTCAACAATCCCAGACCTGCCAAGCCCCATTTGTCTGTGTGCCTGCCAGGATTCTAAGACTGCATTTGGGAATTTTGACTTTTACTGAATGTGAAATTCTGTGTATATATAGCCTTGGTGAGCTGACCCAGTCAGGGATGACTCTGATGTACTTTTGTCTTACAGGATTCAGAATCCATGGCTGGAAGAGGTAGTAAGGCCATTGGGAGGGCATGCCTCTCCTCAGCCCACCCCCACCCTGTGTGGGTCTCCATTCTGAAATTTCCATTCAGGTACTTCACAGTTCTGCAAATTATGATAGGATTAGAAGTGAAGACATTGTTGGGGGGTTCAGAGGACATCAGGCTTTGTACTAGGCTGTGGAACCTGGTGTACTTGGGCTTGTGTAACTTTCTGGTCCCTCAAAAGAGGCAACATCAGAAGATTAAAGAAAGTGAGAATCACTAAATATAGCTTGTCATTTCTGCCCAAATTTTATTACTTGAGCCCAGAGTTACCAAAATTATTCAGGGTGAGCTTCAGTTTTGGCAGGACAGCATTAACTTGCATCTGTGTTAGCAGTATTGCATCTTTGTACTCCGAAGTCAGACAGATTTGAGTTTGAATCCTTGTTTTAGCACTAGGACCTTATTCCAGCCTTTTTTTATTTTTTAATTTCAGGCTTAGCATATTTCTAATGGTTACTTTCTGTCACTTAGAGAATGTGTAGCAGCACATGAAGGACACTGCATGCCTACCCACCATGGCAGCTTTGTGTCCCCAGCTGTCAGGTGAGGCATGGAACTCCTGCTGCCCAACTCTCCAGGCTATTCGAGGCCTGAGCGAGGAGGGCACACTTGGCCAGGGATAGGAAGGAACAGGCAGTGCAAAGGGTGAGGTGCTCCCTCCACACGACTGAAATGTGTGTTTCTGCAAGTCTCTCAGTTCTCTGGTGGCCTTACTAGTTTCAGAATAGTAAATGGCTAATGTATTTATTCATGATGGCCTCATTGGCTTGGGAGATGTACTTAATTTTTAAAAATTTGCTTTAATTCCCTCATTTCTGCACTTCTCCAGTGCTTTCTATGAATTTTTTAAAGGCAACTGAGCCATGAGAGCACAAGCCCATTTTTCTAGCTGCAAAACGGACATGCCTGAAGTGTATGCTCAGCTCGCATCACCTTCCAGTGCCCTGCCTGGAGCTAGAACAACAAAACTTAATCCTCAGGAGGCTTCTGAGGGGCTCCAGGGAGTCACAGGATTACTTAAAGAAGGGAAAGGTCAGACCCTGATCCTGATGCCACTGTCAAAAATTCTAGCACTTTCATAGTTTAAAATATTTTACATTTATACAAAATAGTCATGTATAAAATGTTTTTTGTTCAGTTTACATTTTTAAAAAGGACAATGGTAATTTCAAATGCCTTCTGCTTACATGTCATGTAAATATTGTTAGGAGCCCATATTTTTTACAAAAACTATTATTTGTGGAGATTTTCATGACTGTATAGGTGTTTTCAGTTGGAGGATTTGCCAAACCTGTGTTTTGAGGCACACACGTGATCTCTGCTTGGGAAAGTGGCCAGTGCCACTGTGCAGTGCCCAGCATTTATACGTGACTCTGTTTGGTGTGTGCTGTGTTGGTCACCACTTAAAGTAGAGCCAGTGTGCACAATTTGAATATATAAAAATTTGAAAATATGTTTAGCCAGTCTACTCTTTAGTATATATTTTGAGTGAGTGTCAAGTGGAAAAAAAACAGTAAAAGGAAATTAATGAAGGAAAGGAAAGCACTTTCTGAGTTCTGTCAAACACAAGAGCTTCAGAGGAAACAGTGCTTCAAGACTGTAGTATAGTTTGTCCCTCCTCATTGATTTAACTAAGTGGATACTGAAAAAATATCACAGAGGCATTGATCTTGGTGCAGAAACCACCTCTCCCTGACTAGGGGAAAATAAGCTAGCAAGCAGTGTGTCAGGAAGACCCCTCTTGAAAGCAAAACAGAATTTAGACTACAGCTAGCTTTCACAAAGCTGTTAGCAGTTTATGGTGTTCAACTATAAATAAATATACCACCAAAAGCATAAGGTGTTACTCTTAAGAAAATGGCATGTTTATCAGATTAAAAAGCTCTAAAACCAAAAATTATCCAAAAAGTTAAACTCTGTGATTAGTTCTGGACACAGGGCCCAATTCTGTCGTCTCTTGAGAACTAGGCAACCCCTGGGCAGAACCAGCTTGATTAGCACCATGGCCATCCCTTTATGATGATAACAAACCTAAATATTCACCTTATAAGGAATTCTAAGCTCAACCACATTTACAAATGCTCAGCCCTCGGGGTTCCAAGACTGCTGGTCTTGGGATACCTTAGTGCGGCATTTATGACACAACACAGCTTTGAGGCATTTGTCCTTGGCTGGAAATGTCACACCTGGGAGCAGGCACACCCTGCAAGAGGCTATTCCGCTGCCACCCAAGCAATGAATTATGAGACAAAGCAAAAATTACACTGATGTTACAGAGACATCACTGATCCCTGCAATGAGTAATAATCTTCTTTTGACTTTGAACTGGTAGGCAAATGGAAGAAATCTTAACAGCTGACAACATCCTAGCTGGTAATTAAAAAAATAATTTTTAGTACTCCAGTTTGAAATTTGGTCTTTCACGGAAATTTTCCCTCATTTGGGAGGTCACCAAAATTGTGCTAGCTTTTTAAATTTTTATTATTTTTTTTAAAGCAGCACAGGACAAACTTCTACCATCTTGAAAAACTTCTAAGCTGTCCCTTATCCTAAATCTTGCACCTACAAGTCTTAGAAAGTGAATCTGAACTAAATGATTCAAAGATGAAACATAATGATATCATACTTAATATAAACATCTATTTCAACGTTTACGCCAGACTGAA
The DNA here is from genome assembly GCF_000001405.40 of Homo sapiens. Classification (NCBI taxonomy): domain Eukaryota; kingdom Metazoa; phylum Chordata; class Mammalia; order Primates; family Hominidae; genus Homo; species Homo sapiens. The sequence continues at coordinate 88,725,937 of NC_000004.12, forward strand.
CACAATAAAAGTACTTATGAAAATTATAAGTCTGCACTCTTTAATTCTTAAGTTTACTTACACTTATGAAATAACTCTTGACATTTATTTTGTTGGCATGTGCTAATTAATAAACACATATTCCCAACACAGCAAAGGAAAAATCCCAGTCCAGAGCATTTTGTCTTTGTGAAGCCAATTAATTAAGACACCGCCTCTAGTGCCTTGAGATTCTGGGCTGCAGAAATGGTTGCTGGGGAACACATCTCCCTCGGCAGAGCCAGAAACCACTGACTGACTGACTAACAAACATTTCTTCAAATAAGATCTAGTGTGAAAAGGGCTTCCTCTCATTTCTTCTGGGCTCCATTCCATGAAGAATATAAGTTAGTTAGTTAGTTAGTGGAAATTACAAAGGAAAACACAACATCTCATACACAATTTATTTTATATAACTTACTTGGTGTTTTCTTTTATTGAATCATACAAATTCAAATGGGGATTCCTGAATAAATCTTTAGTTAATTTACCTTTGGCAGAAACAACAGATTCCAAAACAATTAGTAGCATCTCATTTATTTGTAGCTTAAAAAAAAATTCTGTAGCGTATTTTTCCAAAAACATAGTCTTAAACAAATGTGCTTTAAAAGCTAACTGGTAATGATCTGATTAATATCATAGCTTATTTAAGAGAGCTATTAAAGGACAGACTAGACATGTATTTTTAAAAAAACACAATTTTTGGTCATGTGAATGATTCATGTTCAGATTTCAAAAATAGGAAACATCCTAAAGTGCATCATTTTATTTATAATCTCACTCCTTGAAATTATAGCAATCTGCAATGTAAACAGTAGAGCAAAGAATTCCAAACTATATTTTTATGTACATTTAAACCTGTAGGATTATGTACCGTCTTTGTGTATGGATTAAAACCAGGGCACTTCCAACACATAGCTCAAGCTTCCATACGATTAAGAGCAAACTTAAAGGCATTCTTTTTCCCCATCCTTAACATTCAGCTGACAGAAGAGAGCTGCTACCTCACTTCAGCAATGGAAAATGTTGCTGTAAATCCCATTGGACCAGCCAGTTTCTCACGACCCTTTAAAACTGAAAACGGGTCAGTATAGTTTTACATTCTTTTTCTTTTCCTTAAAACTGTGCCCTTTCAGAAGGCAACTTTCAAAACATACGAGGGTGCCTCTGCTGTGTGTTCATACTGTAACACGTCGTCTAAGGCAGAGCTCCTGAAGCACCTTCTCTGGTCAGCCGTGGCAGGCGAGCAGATGCCTGGGCTCGGCCTCGCAAAGCACAAAGGTGGACACAGAACCCACTGTCCTTGGCGCAGGAGTTAAAAAAGTAACAGCAAATCATGAGGTGACATCAGGCACACTGAAGAGATGGAGGATTTGGTGTCTTACATTTCCTGGTCCCTCCAAAATGTCTAATATAGACAGTTTTGTGACAAAGTCTTTGAAAAAAATTATAATTGGCCACACAGCATGACTTCTTTTTTTTCTTTTTATACATGATCTCGAAAATAGTGTGATTTAGATTCTGCCTTGGGCTGAGCTCTGAGGGCTACATTTACCTGTCAGTTTGGGGATTTTAGTGCAGATTTTTTTTAAAAAAATTAAACTCTGGTAAGTACTCAGGAGGCTGAGAACACAGGCCCCTTCTCTCCCCGATCCTCTGTATGCAGGCTGACTTAAGCCCCTTTATGTTTGGCTAGTGCCACAACAAAACAGCCCCAAACAGATTGCCATGAGCATGCTAGCCTGGCTTGGTGTTTGACGATAAAATCAGACTGGTAAGTGCAGTCAGTGTTCAGGAAAGAATCTCCAGGCTCTTCTCCCATGACCTGGTTTTAAAATCAGCATTCATACAGCTGCTTACCATCTCTCTGTCCTCTGCAGATGACCCGGTCCTAGGCAGGGACCAAAATTCCTTGTCAGCTGAGGAAGTCCTGAAGAAACATCCTGAAGATGATGACTGCACTGCCATCGTGGGCAGATGCAGCTTCCATCTACCTGAGGGCTGAAGGGGAAAACCTTTCACACACGTGAGGAAGGCGCAGCTCTGTGGAAAGGTCACTAGAATGGCAGCGGCAGCAAATAGGGCTCCAATGCACGTTTGCAGTTAACTGGGTCCAAGGAGAGCATGGCCCTCCACAGCAAGTTTGCTCTATAGAATAAAGTCCTGAGCTTGTTTTTATCACAGTTAGACAGAGAATGGTCTCTTGTTTCTCAGTTATCCAGGGAAGAACAGTGTATATTCTCTGTAGATGAGTGTTGTCTAATGTAGTGATTAATCTCTGCTAGTGTTAGGAAAGCTCCACTACTGTGTGTGTGTGTGCGTGCATGCGCGTGCGCATGTGCACATACTGCAGTCTTGACTTTCCAATTACAAAATGCCTAAGTCAGGTCACATTGTCTTCTTCCAGCCAGTTTCTAAGGCAGGCAATGGAAACAGGAGCCGATGCCAAATGGTCTAGAGGCAGAAGGGCTGCATGCTTTGCAGGGCCAGCCCCAAGGCTGCCTTCCAGAGCTGCACTTTCTCTGGGGACAGTAAACTCTCACCGCAGCTGCCAGCCCCCTGTGCTTGGCCATGCCCCTCACATGGACTTGGAATCAGTGTCTCTCTTGCTGATGAGCACCTCCAGGAGCCTCAGTTTCGCCTTTATGTGCTTATATTCACTGTATTCTTCAGCCATAGGAGTGCGGTCTTCCTTCTGGACATTTCTAATGCAAATAAAGGAAAAAGGGGTCTGAGGATCATTTTCTGTCTTTGCTAGATACTATTCATCGGGCAAATTATCATTGTTTAGAAACTTTGCAGTTTATCAACTTGTAGAATCAGTGTTGCCGAGTGGCCCTTGGTCTCAAGACTGGGGCTGGATTTAGACAAGTAATGAAAATGTTTCACCCAGAAGGCAACATGCAACTGAGTTTTTATATAGTTAATCTGGCATCCTGTATGATAAGAAGGCTAAGAAATGCAGAAATTCTCTCTGCTAAGTATGAATTCACATTGAGCTCTCATACACCAAAATCTTTTATTCATACTTAATGTTTTCTCATTCTTATATATTTCATCTCGTGAAATTTTAAATTTTTAATTAGCAACTGGTCCACAACTTAGTTTTTTTTTTTTTTTTTTTTTCCAAAAACAGATAGTTAATACTCCTACTTATCATAAAACTGTGTTAGAATTCAGCAGCTGGATTACATAATACTATTATAATAAGCCTTTATTATTGAGTAACTTTACATACATAATATTTATATGCACAAGTATTTGAGAGCTTATAGGTCAAGCCCTGTGCTAAGTACTTTGTACCCATGATCTGATAGAACCCTTATAACACCTTGATGAGATGCAGCCATTTTCTACACACTACACATGATGAAACCAGCACAGGAAATCAGATAACTTGCCTGCTCTTGGCCACCACGCGGTGCGCTGCTGCTTTGTGTTTTATGGGAAATTGCACATGGCAAACATTCAACCATAGGCTTCCTGCCTTTATTATTAAAGGGCAAATATGGGTAAGGAGGATAGCATGGGGCTTGATTTGTTCAATGACCTAAAAATAAACTGATCTTATTCATACCCTGCCTTGTTCTAGGAAAGGATTCTAGTGGCTTCTCAGCAGAGGGCAGGGCAAGGAACAGGTGCTCAGGAATTGGAGCATCTGGCACGCAGGCCCCCACTGCACTCTGAGGGGCTTCACTCTCCTCAGACACGAAGTCATGGAACCAGAGCTTATCTCCTAAGTCCCTCATAGTTCTAAACTTTTTTGACAATTAAGTTAACGTCCTCCATTGACATTTTCTTAAAACCTGGGTGGTTTGCGTAATTCTACATGTATAAGATATCTGTGCATAATGTGACTTAGAATAATATAAAAAAGGATAAGCCAAAAAATAGGCTTAGATGAAAGACTGGAAAGATACACGTCAAAACATTAATTCTGACTTGTCTTTGGTTATTATTGTTTTGGGAATTACTACTTAAATTTGCTTACCTATATTTTCTAAATACTGTGCAATGGGTGGGAAATGAAAAGCAAGTGTTTAGGTATAAAAATATATGAGACATATCCAAATCAGAGATCCTAAAAGTAAATTCATACAATAATTGTTAAACTAAACTGAAATACAATATATTTTAAATGACAAAGTTAATTTTTATGGTGCTTTCATTTCCCCAAACTTTCAAGAAGTATAAAAGAGGACTCAAGAGAAACAATACTTACATAGCTTCAGTAATCTGGGTTAAATCCAATTTAAAATGATAAAACCTAACTCCAATGTAAGAGATGCAAATCTGTTCCTGGTTCTTTCCTCAGGCTCCTACTGTGACTTTCGGTAAGATTTTTGTGTGCTGTTGCTTGTAAACATGAAAGACTAAATTGTGCCTTAAAATTCACTGGCGAGAGGCAGCCCATCAACCAGGTAGATTTACTGCTTTTCTTTTCTTTGTTTTTTTTGAGACGAAGTCTTGCTCTGTAGCCCAGGCTGCAGTGCAGTGGCGTGATCTCGGCTCACTGCAACCTTGGCCTCCCGGGTTCAAGTGATTCTCTTGCCTCAGCCTCGAGTAGCTGGGATTACAGGCCTGTGCTACTGCACCCGGCTAATTTTTTGTATTTTTAGTAGAGATGGGGTTTCACCATGTTGGTCAGGCTGGTCTTGAACTCCTTACCTCATGTAATCCACCCTCCTTGACCTCCCAAAGTGCTAGGATTACAGGCGTGAGCCACCACGCCTGGCCGACTTACTGATTTTCATACATATTTTTCATTTAAACTTGGCAATTATCACCTTCATTTTTGAAATGAGCTTGAAAATCAGTAATACTTAGATCTCTCTTTCCCTTGTTTCTCTAGCTCCTTTTATTTAGAAATGAAGTCTCACTCTATTGCCCAGAATAGAGTGCAGTAGCAGACCACAGCTCCCTGCAGCCTCAAACTCCTGGGTTCAAGCAATCCTCCTGCCTTAGCCTCCCAAGTAGCTAGAGCTACAGGTGTGCCACTACGGCCGCTTGGCTAACCTCTAGCTTCTTAAGAAAAAAGCGTTGGTGCCACCACCAGCGGGAAACGCAGCTTCCTGCTGCTCATTGTAGATAAGAATTTGATGGGACAGGTTCATTTCATAAATGTCAGCTGAATCTGCATTAGTCTTGGGCATTACCCAAAGAGCATTTCTTCTGGGAGGTCCACACAAATCCCATCATCTCACAGTCAACCTCTAAGTGTCCCTGGGCACAAACCCAAGGACCAGGTTACAGGGAGGATGCAGAAGAGTCCCCCCTTTGAAGGCATTCCACAGATCTGACAGAAAAACAAGAGGGATGGGTGTGTGTGGTGCGGCGGGGGGGAAGGGAGGGTGGGGGAAGACAGGCACTACCTTCCATTCTGTCTGAAAAAGTTGTCTTCAAAATCCCGAAGTTTCTTTCGAATCCTTTTCTTTTCTTCTCTCATTTCCTGGAGGTGTTCCAGGAGTTCAGGTCTAAGAGAGAGGAAGCATTGCAAGGAAATTAAGTTAAATTTGAGTTGTCATAAATGTGATGAATGTGTAACTCAACAGGAGCTGTGCAGAAAGGGGAGGCAAGTAAATGCAGAAACTGCTGAGAGCATTGAGGGGGCGCGGAAATGCATGTTTTCCATTTCCTGAAAGCCAAACATGCTGGCAACAGATCCAGCTTCTGGGGGTTCCTGCTACTTGGGAATTCTTAGCCCTTGTGAAATCCCATGGCACTTTGTCATATTTTTCTTTGAAAGAAAGAGATGACATCTGTGCTCAGCGTGTGTTAAGTGATGGGCTGTGATGTACAGAACCACACGATGCCCTTTAGAGAGAGAACTTCTGGTTGTTTAAACAAGACTCAAAAGTTCCCTCAAATAACATGGGCTGAAGCATATAAAAAAAGAAATTTTTTAAAAAATCACCGTTTTATCCAGATACACCCCAGGTAGTCACTTGTATTTTATCAGCTAATTTATTTAGATACAAAGGCTAAGATAATATTTAAGTGAGCTATTTTTACCAAAACATTTCACCACCACCACCAAAATGACATACATTGAGGCAGCATGGAGATTTGAAAGCCCTGTGTCCTGGCTGCATTTTGATGGTATTTTATCATCCATTGGGGAAATAAATCCATCAGCGTCATCTTCGAATTGGTCCAGAAAGCATCGTGCACTGAAATCGGTTTTCAGAGTGACCATGAAGTCTGGCTTCACATTGCTATCGTCTTCTGACCCCTCCTCTTCTTCCTGGAGATACACAGCAACCCCAATAAAAATCTGGTCACTTTTTGGGGCAGACTTTCATTACAAGTATCATTTAATAATCATTTAATTATCAGACTCCATATAGTTTCTTCTGTATCTACATTTAGCAACACATATGTACATTACAGATATATTATTGAACATCTGTATTCGATATAAATATACACATTTAATAACACAATGTAGCCACTCAATAGAGAAAACAGACTGCAAAACTATTTTAAAATGAGTGTACATCATGTTAATAGTTGTCAGGTTGGGGGTAAGAAGGAACAACCATCATAATTTATAACCTAAATCAGATGAACTAAAAGGATCCAAAAATTTCCAGCTCTGTGACAGTACAAAACAAAATTCATCACCAGTAACCAGTGCTTGAAAGGATTCTACTACTTGGGTATCTCAGATGGCTTTAAAAAAAAAAAAAATCAGTCTGAACATTTTCTGAAATAATACAACATTTCTATTTAAGAATTGAGATTAGAAAATATTTTATGGCTGCTTAATGCACAAAATTTTAGGGAAATTTTAAGAAGACTGAAAGATATTATATTCTCATGATTGAAATAAGAAAACTCAAGCTTTTCCAAAGAACTTCCAAGGGCCACATCTGTATTTTTTGGCATACAAGATTCTAAGAAAAGTATGATATTCTCGGTCTGTATTGATAATGCAAATAGAAAAATAATAAAGCCAAATCAGCATTTCTTAGAGCCAATTTAAGGCTATGTAAGCCTAAGGAAGAGATAATATCAGAGTGTGAAAGATTTCAAAACAAGTGATGTACTGCCAAAAGGTAGTCAGACCACAGAGAATAACTTACTATCCTAAAAAATTTAAAAATTGGTTCGGAATACAGCCACATAAAAAATGGTATGCATAGCACCAATTATTACAGGTAAACCAAATGGTTTCCATGCCAGTGCAGCAAAAACATCTCAGGAGGCCGCAGCAGTTCCCGCTGGCGGGCAAAGTACAAGTGTGCAAATGGTTCATGGTAAATTTTGATATGTTTAATAAGGGTGTTTCTGAAGAGAAATAATGTGAATAAACAAGCAACCAAACAAAGCAAAACAAAAAAGGACTATCATATAACTGATATCAAAGTATTGCTATGAAAATAAAATTGGCAAAAGCTAGGTGGCTTTTCCAGATTGTCTCAGCTGTGACTTCAGACCTTGAGTCTCTTTAAATTGTTAAAAACATTTAAAAGTTTACAAAGTAAAATTGACTTTTTAAATGAATACGTTTCTTTTTGTTTTAGTAAGAGTAATAACAATTCCCATCGACGTAGTTTTGATAAAAATTGAGATAATGTGTGTCAGGTACCTCATAAGGCACACCTGGGACACTGGCTGTGCACATCAGTTTTCCGCTCCCTCTCTTCCTTCCCCTCCCCTGGATAAGGAAAACAGGGTAGAAGTATCTGACCAACTCAGTGAAGGCAGGAATTGGGGCCTGTTTACTGCTGTCCCCAGAGCTTGGCCAATGCTTGCATATGGCCAATAAATGGCTGTTAAGCAGTCTAGTAATTCAGTTTGAAAAGAGAACTACAAAAAATTACTATTAGAAGAGCATAAACACCTAACAGAGTTAGGGACAGCTAACAGAGTTACAAATAAGAACTTAACGACCTTTAATGAAATCAGGTGTCTAGGCCTTATCAATTATATCCCAAAGTCCTGAGAGAACTTAAAAGTGTGGAAGTGTGCCTTGCACATAGTGAGCACTCAATATTTTTTGAGATAAATGTAACAAAATTACTCTCAGTAGCCTTTGAAAATCACGAGGAAAAATAGCAAATAGATTTTCAAATAAGACAACCATCATAAGTGTTGTAGATACTGGGTAGATTCTAGAAGGAATTAATACATAGATAATATATAAGCAATTGGGAAAAATCAGTGATCAACTGATGAGACTGGTTCCTTAAAAATGAGTCATGAAAATGAACCATTTTTCCTTTTTTGATAGATGTAGTATTTGGATTTCAATAAACAACCAGGTAAGCAGACCCTACGAAAGGAAAGCTGGCTTCCCAAATTTCTGCTGAGTAATGACTGAAGGGTGACATGAACCTGAAGGGCAGTCTACAGCAGCCCCTCTGCCTGACCCTGCCTTACTCAGTATCTGAGTCACTTGGACAAAGAAAAGGCATATTTCAAAATGTACAGATAATACAAAGCGGGTAGGGATATCTGATATGTTGGAGTAAAAAAGCTAGATTTAGTGTATTTCCTACAGCTGAAATAGAAGTATGAGACGTAACAAATTGGAAAAATTCAAGGCCCTATAATTAGGAAAAAGAGAAGCTGGATACATCAGTGGCAATGCACAAGTATACAGCAAAGCATGAGTCAGGGCCATATGCCAGGGCCATGAGCAGTGGTTCTCAATCAGGGTGATCTGTTCCCTTGGGGACATCGGGCAATGTCTGGAAACATTTTTGGCTGTCACGACTGGTGAAGGGGTGGTGGTGCCACACTACTGGCCTCTAGTAGGTGGAGGCCAGGGACTCTGGTAAGCATCCCACAAAGCACAGGGCAGTGCTGCACAACAGTTACCCAGCCCCAAAGGTCAGCAGTGCTGAGGCTGAGACACCCTATCCTCAGAAAGGCCAAAATGAATTCCCAATACCTTGTCAGTTGCATAGGCAAGAAACTGGAGGCATGAAAGGGTCTCAGTCATCCAGATCAATGTAAGGACTAGTCTTTGGTCCACTGTCCTGGTTAAACCATATGCAGGTTAATGTCCAGTTCCGGGTATCAGTTTTAACAGCAACATTGATAAACTGGTGTGTGTGCACACAGCAGAGCTAGGAGACCACTGAAAGGTCTGGAACCCGTATCACATAAGGAAGAGTAAGAGGAACTTGGATAACAAATTGTCACAGGGTGTGGGGTGGGAGTGGGCAGGGCAGGTGACTGTAAATACAGGCAGTGCTCTCAGGGAAGAAGCAGTATGTCTATCTCATGTTGCTCCAAAGGGCAAAACTAAGCCTATGGGATAGAATGTAATAAATTGATAATAGCTATGAATATAATTTCAACTATTTTCATTAACTTGGTATTTATCAAACCTATACATTTTAAATTACATATTATGTAATTAACAAATAATTATAAAACCAATAATATAAGTTATCAGCTATTATTGATACTTATGTAGTGAGTGACATAACTCCTTCCATTGCTGTAAACTTTTTAAGCTTGAGGATGGAATCTCTCTGTAGGGACAATGTCTCTATTCTGCCAGAGAAGTTTTAGAGGGGATTCTTATGTTGGCTAGGAGAACTGATTAGATGATCTCTAGGTTTCTTTGGGTTGGAAAATCTAGGCCTTCAGAACTGAGCTGGCTGTAGTTCATATACAGCTGGTTCGTTCCCAAAAGCATTTAAAACCAGGGGTGAGTTTTGGAGAAACCACTTAGATACAATCTTACCTGCACACACACCAAATTCTAAACTGGAATTGCCAAGAATTAGTACAGTCCAAATACTTTCTAATAGGCCTGGCCAACAGGAACAAAGTGAACCAAAAGACAGCACTGTTTACAAAAGCAAAGTAGTCATTGCAAAATTATCTGAAATTTTGACCATGATGTGGGCCAGGAGATAAACCACAGCCAAAATATACTTGTGAAAAAAAATTAAGCTAAAGGATAAGAATGGGAAAAATGTCTTTTATAAAAAAGAGCATCATTAGGTTATCTTCAATTCATTTGGTGAAACCCTTATTAAGTGTCTACATTTTGGATGTGTTCAAGAACACATTTTTATCTAGTAACGGTTCTATTGCATGCTGCTAAGAGAAACATGCTAATTTTCATACACACAATTACCCAAATTTCTCCAATTACTGTGGTTTCATTCTTGGGTGACATTACCAGCCAGACAAAATTTGTCTTTCATTAACATCAAGGCTTATTGTAAGAAAATAGCTCTAATTTTTAAAGACACAATATAGTATACTGGCCCAAATTTCAAGTACCGTGTTTACAGCATTTTCATAAAACAAGTTCTACTTAATACAGTGAGCACAGTCATTGCCTAATACCATAAAATTAGGCATATGATGTATCAAGATCTGCAAAAGGCAAGAAAAGGAATACATAAAAGAAGACTTTATAGCTTGTGGTACCTTACCTCAGACAAGAAAATGGAGAAATTCTCAATTGGTTTCCCTCAGTAGACAAGAGGGCCCCATATACTGAAATAATCATTCCTAACTACAGCACGTAAATGATCGCCCCAGGCTCGGAACTATCACAGAAATATGACAAGTGAAACTCTTAAAACTCACTTCTGCTTCAGGTTTAACTCTTGCTTTGGAGTTAAATGACTGTTAGAAAAACAATCACTGTTTTTTAAAAAATGATTGCCTTTGATTTTTCATCTCTAGAGTTCTGTATAAGGCAGTCCAGTTTGTTCAGTTGTCTAGAAACAAAAACATGAAAGAGGCTGATCCTAGTACGGGCCAATTAGGGTCCCACAGAGACACACTGATCTATGGGCACAGATTACATCTCGCATTCTAGCAAAAGTAGCCACCGATGACAAGGATTATCTGTACAAAATCCATATTACTGGAAAAAAAATCAGGACATATGTTCTGGTAGCTATCAGTCATTCACAGCACCTCATTCGTAGATTAAGAGCAGATTTTAAAATTAGTCCTGGGGACTAAATGTGCTATGAGAAAGTCAAGAAGGAAAAAAGCCGGAAATACTGCACCCACAAATCTGTCAAAGACTACTAAGATATTTGTAGAAGTACAATTTTTCATTGTTTTATATGTTTATATATATATTTCCTATGTTAATTTTGATTTTTCTATAAACAGTATATGAGATTCCTTTTAAAGTTGGTCTAATGAGCTAATTTAAGATTTTGGAATACAGAAAAATCCATTCCCCAAATACAGAAAACAAAACCAAACAAAAAGCATTGTGGACAACAAAACCAAACAAAATAATCCCTGAAAGCGAAGTAAAAACAAAACAACAACAGACAATACAAAAAAGAGGGGGGGAATAAAATGAAACCAAAGAAATCAACTAAATGGAACTGGAGAAATTAGCACTCTTTAGAGGAACTGTTCAAAGTTGGTTATATGTAGCTACTGATTTTTAGGGAATGCTGTAAGAAGCCACCACCAAAAGGCCCGATCACACCCCCTTTCCATTCACCGGAGGGGAGGGGAGGAGGGAGGGAACTGGTGCGGATTTAGCAATGGGTTAGCAGCTGGGGTCTTCACCTTTATCTCCTTGAAGAAGGAAGCAGTTTCGCCCTCGATAATTGGCTGCAGCAAAGGGCTTCTCCGCTTGCTGGAGGGGGAACCCTGTGACAGGTGTTAACAAGTAGGTTACATTCCGAACCCCTTTCCCTTTCCCTCCAGCTCTCGGCCTCCTCTGACCTCACCAGTATTTATTAACTTTTAACTCTGCATTCTTATCCCTCCCTGCCAAACACTCCCAGGAAAACCTGAAACAACAAAAGTTCTTTTTCCAAGTTGCTGCTTCCCTTCAGCGCCCACACACATAAATCAAGGAGGACAGAGTACAGCAAGAACAGCACAGGAGTATATCCGGCAGACACGCAGAAGAAACCCGAGGAGAAACACCTGCCTCCCATCGCTGCCCCTGCCAATCACAGTTAACCACAAGAACACTTCGGCTGTAGTCAGCTAAGGAGAATCACATAAGCTCAGAAAGCAATACAAAGGGGAGCTGACTTCTCTGTTGCACCTTCACCCTACTTAGGGACACTAAGGGTTCCTGCCTGGAGAATGAAAACAACTCCTTAGATCTAATCGTTTTATTTGTTAGTTTAGGACATTCCTCCAGAATACATTAAAGTGGCTTTCTTCAAATACACCTGCCTGAGATCTCTGGACCCTCCTTTCTTCATTAAATACATTGTTAAAAGAAATAGACAATATTCTAGGCCTAGAAATAAGAAGGGCATTTAAGGCCGGGCCAGACAGGAGCAGCAGCTAAAATGAGTATGTATTGCAACGGCAACATCAAAGTGAGTTTGTGTCTGCTAAAGAGCCTAAAAGCCAGCAGAGGAGATGGGAGCACTGAAACAGAAGCAAATGTTTCCCTAAGAGATGGACAGGGCAGAACACCCTACTCATAAGCTGGGGGTGGAAACGCTGAGTCTGGGATGAGGGATGGGAGCAGGTGGCTGGGCCCTAAAGACTTCCTGTCGCTGAAGGCAAGCTGCTGCTCCCTACTCTTGACAAAATCAAAAGCCAGGAGCCAAAAGCAGCAAAGTTTAAGGATGGTGGCCACTGACAGCAACTTCAATGAGTAGCCTCCTTTCCTACACCTTGCCACATCCTCCAAGAAGGGCCTCTCTCTCGTTTCTCAGAGGATTTTCTCCCTGGACACAATTCCCAAGGGAGTTATCCCTCTCTTGGATGGGAGGGACTATGAGCAGAGGGCCTTGGGATCAGAACGGCACTCTTTGGAGTGAAGAGGCCTGGAGAAAGTGCAGCCCTACCCACGTGGTGCTCCATCTCTGACCCAGTATATCCAATGGATGTACATGCCTTTTGGGCAAAGCATGTCCTCCAAAAGGGAAAAATAAATTCTATCAGCTTCAGATTTGCCCATTTTTAACAAATGTAGCCTCAGGGGTCTTTGATAAAGTCTTCATTCCTCAAGCTTGTGGGCCATGGATAGTAATGGCTGATTCAGCAATTAAAGCCTATTCTTTAATGAGAAAGCAGGTTAGGGCCCTATTCATATATCCAGGGCCCATTCAAGCGGAAAGGTGTTGTACCAGCCACGGGAAGGTATTCTACTCACAATGATGGGTATGGTGTTAGCTCGGGAGAGGATCTGTTTGACCAGCCGGTACCTGTCGTATAGTGGCTTCATCACCTGCCGTTCGTTCTTTGTTACCTGAAAAGCAAGAATGAGAGCTATGAGAAGCCTGCTGCTGGGAGTCACAACCAGCTGTCTAAGCATGCTCTGGGCCTTTGTAATTCTAGAGAAACTCCAGATGATGCAACTTAAGTCTTACTACCCTCACAGAATTTATTTAAACTGATAATATTATTTATTCAATAAATATTCAGATTACCTAGTTCAGCTGCAGATCAGTGGAAGTCACTCCACTGGTAGTACTGCTTTTTCTAAATCCAAACTAGGATCATTCTTAGGTTCCTGCTTCCTGCTTAAAACTCCTCAAGGTTCAGAGTTCCCAGATGACTATTTTCTGAGCCCAGGGAAAGTGAAAGCATATATCTGCTATAAGACGTATCATGTAGGCCAAGCATGGTGGATCATGCTTGTAATCCCAGCACTTTGGGAGGCTGAGGTGGGCAGATCACCTGAGGTGAGGAGTTCAAGACCAGCCTGGCCAACATGGTGAAACCCCGTCTCTACTAAAAAATACAAAAAAAAAAAAAAAAATTAGCTGAGTGTGGTGGTGGGTGCCTGTAGTCCCAGCTATGCAGGAGGCTGAGGTGGAGAATCGCTTGAACACAGGAGGCGGAGGGTGCAGTGAGCCGAGATCACACAACTGCACTCCAGCCTGGGTGACAGAGAAAGACTCTGTCTCAAAAAAAAAAAAAAAAAAAAATACATATCATGTAGTTCATTTACTTGTCTTTCTCCTCTATGAAATTATGTTTCTAAGAAGAAGATTCTGGCAAACAGTGGGTATTCAAGGAACATGTGATGAAAAATACATGAACTGATTCATCTGTGTATCCCTAAAATCTGGCACAGGGCTAAAAAATGTTTAAAGGACTGATTCTCCAGGCAGTGGGGAGGAATCATACTCAACTCCCTGGTATAGTATTGGAAGCTCCTCATACTCTATCTGCTGCTTCTCCTCCCCATCATACTTCAAGCTTCAGAAATAAAGTAGGTTGTCTCAACCCTCTTGTCCAATTCCCTCTACCCTGCCATGGCTTCCTCTTTGCTCTTTTGTTTGGCAAATTCCAGATGAAGAGCCACTTCTCTGTGCAGCCTTCTTCCAACATCCCCCATTCTGGGAGACTCACCCATTCTCTCCTTTGTGAAATCACCACCCTGCCCCGTGCATACCCTGTAATTTCATAAATGCTTTTACACTTTACTGTAGCGATATGTTGACACGTGTCTCCTCCTTGAGACTGTAGCCCCTTGAGAGCAGGAGTTTATATTTTTGTATCCCTAGTAACTATTTCAGTGCCTGACATCATGGAAATATTCCATAAATATCAGTCAAATGAGTGAATAAATATTTGAAACATAAATAGGTGTGCCTGATTCACAGATGCAGTCCCATTGGTTACTTAAATGGGGAATGAGATGAAGTATCTTTGCTTCAAGTTAGCTGTTTGTCTCCTGCATTCTCTTACTATTTCACATATAATAAGGCAAGAGTTTTAGAGGTAAGGAAGGCAAGTAGCGTTAGCTTTGACCATTTCTTTTACGGGTTTTTTGAGCCTTCAACTTTGAAGATGACTCTGGATTATGAAGAAATGGATGATCCTTTGTTGCCTTTTGTATTTGTCTTTCTCAAAGTGATCAACAGCAAGTGTGCTTTGGATAAACTTGACAAGTTAGAATAAGATCAAGAAGAATAACAGCCTTATGTTACTTGCACTTCTGTTATCAGATAACTAATGGGCAATTGGTATTTTCCTGCTTCTACTATGTACTATACCATGAGGAGTTTTATAATTTTATAAACAATGACTGTCAAAACTAGAAGGGACCCAAATTATTTTACAGAAAAAGACTAAGGATCAAACCACAGATGTCACCCGCTACACACCTACCACAGAGCTGAAATGAAAAGACTGTGTCTAGTGCTGGCAAGGATGTTGAACATCTGGAACTCTCCTTCACTGCTGGTAAGAGTGAAACACTTTGGAAAACTATTTGGCAGTACCTACTAAAGCTGAACTTATGATCCATCAATTCCACTCTTAAGTATATACCAAAGGTGGCCTTAAGTTCATCAAAAGACATATGTAAGAATGCTCATAGCAGCACTATAATCCCAAACTGGAAATAGTCCCAAACCAGAAATTGCCCATATGCCCATCAGTGGTAGAATAAAGTATGTTCCCCAAATTGAATACTACACAGCAACGAGAATAAGTGAATCACAGCTATATGCATCATGGATTAACCTCATAATAATAAAGCTGAGTAAATTACGCCAGACACAAAACATACTGTCAGATTCCACTTACATAAAGGTCAAAAATAAGAAAAATCCACACAGTTAGATGATAGTGGTTTTCCTCTGTGGAACCTTGAGTCACGGTACTGACGAAGGGAACATGAGCAAGGCTTCTGGAGGATCGGCAACGTTTTGTTTTTTGATATGGGTGCTGGTTACCTGGGTGTGTGTACTTTGTGAAATTTCATCAAGACATATGTTTATAATTTGGGCCCTTTTCTGCATTTATGTTATACAGGGTAAGCATCCCAAATCTGAAAATCCAAAATCTGAAACTTTTTGAGTACTGACGTGATGCCAAAAGGAAACGTTCATTGGAACATTTTGAATTTCAGATTTTGGGATTTGGGATGCTCAATCAGTATAATGCAAATATTCCAAAATCTGAAAAAATCCAAAATCTGAAACACTTCTGGTCCCAAGCATTTCGTATAAGGGATACTCAACCTGTACTTCAACAAAAGTGCAACAATAGCCACAAATAAGTTTGAGAAACAGAAATTAAGTGACTTGTACAATGTCACATGTAAAATGACAGAATTTAGGACTGAGACACATGTAATAATCTTTTAAACACAAGATATAGAATATGTTGCAGATGAGATTAAAGTGCATCCTAATGTCAGCACGTGACACATGGTGAAATATAATGTGCAAGATAAACAATAGACGGTTGAGTAACCAAAGACATACTAAAAGTAGAAATAGGAACCAGCCAGCATCCCCACTGTGAACTAGCATCCATTACTAGTTATTTGGCAGAAACATCTTTGGACTGCAACAGAAGACCAAAGTAAAACCAACCAGTTGTGACAAATTTGACAGAAACCAATCTCCTTCCTTACTCTTTGTTCAAAAACGAAGTTTTCTACTTGGAGTAGATGAGGAAGATCACTGGCTTAATTCTTTGGCTCATGACATTGATATTTAGATTTTCTACAAATTGCTCATGTTTTCAATTAGTGACCCCCAGGAACTAATCACCTGTGGGTGATCTGACAAAATCCAGTGTTTTTGACTATGGAGAGTTAAAACTCATGATTCCACAAAACCATTGTCATTTAACAGAAGCACCAAAAATATCAAAGATCTTTAAGTCTGAGGTAAGAGAAAGGTAAGAATAACGACCTGATTTTTATCATAATCATTTTCATAATATATATTTGAAGCCAAAGGCTCAGTGATACTACAAGTTAATGCAACTTTTACCCATCATAATAATGATCAGTGCTCAGTTTGTGAGTGGGGTCAAAATTTAATCCATAGTTATATGAACAAAGCAGGACCTTCGCTGAACTGTCAAAAAAGAGCTATTAAATCTAACCACAGGAAAACCGTTTGAGTTGACATCTCTTATTCTTGACTCATCAGCTGCTCAGGGATTCTGCTGCCCACTAAGAATAGGGCTCTGAATGAGCTACACTGATCTTCTCTCAGCCTCAGTTTCCTGAATGGTAAATTGCAGAATTCAAATTAGAAAATCTTTATGCTTCCTAATTGCTTGGAAATGACTTTAGGCCAGGCATGTAGTATATTATCTCTTCAAAATACTTTCACTCCTCTAGCTTCAAAACTTTATTTAAAGTGATAGTGCTGAATGGTCTTCCAATATGTGGAACTAGGGTTATCATTAAGATGTATTTTTGCACATAAGTCAAACAACATAAATATCCAGATGTGAAGATCTAAGGGGAGAAAGCAGCACTTCCACTCCGTCTTTCCTTATGATTCAAATAAATTGTCATTTACTGGTCTTTTACTACCCTATTTGGTTGTCCCGTAAATTTCGGATATTTCAAAACACAAAGGGAACACTAGCCAATAATTATCCACATTTAATTAATGGCAAGTCTTGAACAGAAATCAAAAAGGCCTGATTAGGCAGCTGCATTTGTCTGCCTTTATCTTTTGTGACGGTTTTGGTCTTAGCTTCAAATAAAACTCTTCCCTACTGAAACATCAGTTTAGTTGCTGTTACCTGACAAAACCACAAAGGTGAAAGGTAAAATGAACATATTCACTTTAAAGATAAATTAGAACTATGAAATATTAAGAGCTAGAAAAGCCTTATTTTTTAGATGATAAAATTAAGCACCAGAGAGGGTAATGATTTGCTCAAGGCCACAGAGATGGGTCCAGATCCCAGGTTTATGAACTTCCAGTTGTTTTCTTTCACAAATAAGAAGTAGGATCTTTAACCGTGATGATTTTTGGATCTGGGATGCTCAATCAATAGCGCATCAATACAGCATCATCAATATAGCGCAGTCAATATAGCATAGAGATGTAGCATTATTCTCTAATAGGGTTTCGCCAAGTTGTCTTCATAATATAAAGAATTCTGCCTTCCAAGCTGAGAGTTTGCCTATATTGAATTTACAAAAATCTGTGCTTATGAACAGTGTCATAGAAACACAACTTTGTGAGAAATTATGTCATAGACAAACTATGCGGCCTCAAACTCTTAGTAAAACAAGAAGTAGTTTGAGTTTGTGTGTGAGGGCTATACCTCTGAATCATCAAACTGCTAGAAGGAGAAGACAAAATGGGATGGATTCTTATAACTGTTGCATTCTTGGCCTGTTAATTTGAAAAATGGCAACTCTGTCTTCATTATCAGGTTATCATAATAGACAGTAAAAAGATCAGAAAATCCAAAACAGCAGCTAACCGAAGGAGAATATTTATAAATGGCTCCAGAATTTGCATTTAAATTTGAACATGGCTGTATTTAGGGTCCTCAAGGTTTAAAAACATAAGATTAAAATACTCCATTGAGGAAGATCAGATGGAGTATGCTTCTGGTTCTGATCAGGTAACCCATTCTCTCCCCTCTATGGTCATTATCAAATAGTGGGATACACACACAGTAATACAGTGACATGTAGTTATTTACTGCACTTCTGTGACATGGTCTTTTGATGAGAAGATTCTTAAACATTGAAGAGGACGCACTTTAATAATAATAGGGAATTATATGCCTGTGTATAAGTGAGTGTTTTTGTGTTTATATATGTGTAACTCTGCAGAGTGCCCTCAGAGTGCCCTGAGAAAGCAAACAGCTTTGCTAAAAATGTACAGAAGCGGCTGATTACAGTTTTGGCCTAAGATTTTAGTAGTTAGTGCCCTTTTAAATCAGTATCTGTAGACTCAGAAAAAAATCCATTGAGTTTTGAGCACCTGCTTTTCTAAACAATTGGGGTTTGGAACAATAGTTTAACTCTAGAAGTACATGTATTTTTCTTCTAAGAAGAGTGTTGTCCGCATGGCATTTACAGTCCAGGGTCCATGGTAACACCACAAATCTAAGAATTAAAAGTTGACTCTTTGATTTTTTTTCAGACTGGCCAGATATCAAATGAACTCTGCTTTTCCTGAGGAGGTTGGAGCATCATGTTCCAAATAGAGAGAGGCAGAGAGTTTGGCCCTGGACCAGAAATTAATGACACTCAAATTTCCTAGAGCATTTGTTCCCCACCCTATGAGATGCTAGAATCCGGACCCACCTGAAAGAGTGATGAAAGGGAATAATAAGGCAGGGCCAAGAATAATAGTTCATATTCTTAATGATAAGAGAGCTATGAAATGCACATTCTTTCGCCTGATTTAATCATTTAATCAGAAGGAGGCCACAGAAAGTAGAACGTGTAATTGTAACAGAGGTGAAAACTATCATTTACTGTGCAGACCCAGTAAAAGCCACCCCACCCCACTTCCTCAGTGACAGACATCCTACAGGTAAGTATATACAGATAAACGTCTGTGTGTGTGTGTGTGTCTGTAACATCATTTAATCTCCTTGGCAATCTATAACAGATATCTATTATATAGACAAAGCACCAAGGCTCTGAGAGGTTACCTAAGCAGCCCAAAGTCATAGAGCTAATCTCAGTGGGGCTGGGTTTTGAATCTGGGTCTGCCAATTCTACGTGTCTGACCCAGTCCAGGCTGAATGAGGGAATCTGTTCCCAACTCAGAGCAACAAATACTACAACACACAAAATACTCAATTGGCAGCAAGGTGAAGTCTATCTAGAACACAGCTGTGAGCTCTTAAGGGCCTTGGGCATGGAAGTCCTTAAAGGTGTCTATCAATGTCATAACCCAAATCCACAGAAGTAAAAGAGGAAATGTTCAAGAAGGAAAACACACCTTCTCCATGAGGCCTACCAGATGGCTACACAGAGCAGGGTTCTAAGCCTATTGTGGAGAAGGAGTGTCTCTCTGATAAAAGAAGTTCACTTCTGCCTCTACACATTTTGAATATTCCGGTGGAGAAGGAGAAAGTTTCACAGTGTATTTGAGCTCTAGAGCATTTACTATTTGGTTCAATGCCTTCAAAAAAAATCCCAAACAAAGCTTGGCTGAAACATGAACATTATCCCAGAGTGTCAGTATTTTTCCACTGCAGGGACAGGCCAGCAGAAGAATCATCAGTGCCAGCATTTTTTTTTTTTTTTTACATTTAAACCTGATAAATTCAGAATTAAAATGCCACCAAGGAGACATTCTACAGATAGTTATTGGGCCTGTGTCATGTGTCAGGTCTTGTGCTAGACACTGAGGACTGGGGTCACCACTAGGTGAACAAAGCCCAGAATCCCTGACCTCCCACACCTTAGAGTCTAGTGAATTATTCTGGAACCTTCTTTATTTAAAAGAGCATATTTTAGATGAAAAGACTATCATATAGTCATGGCCAAGACTGAAAAAGAGATCTATACTTTTTGGCTATATAAAAATAATCAGTGAACCTAAACTTCGTGCTTCCTTATACCTGCTTTTAAAAATTTGTTTTGTTAGGTCTCTGACAACATTATGAACAAAAGGTTATTAAGAGTGACTGACAAGAAGGGTGTCTGATGAAAAGTTCTTCAGGGAAGAGAGCAGAAGCCTATCATGCTACCGTTTCCCCCACAGCTAACAACAAACATTTAAGCAATGCTTGCTGAACGGCAAGCCACCTCAAATGCTTCCCGTTGTTATGAAAAGGCAAAGCCATATTTTGGATTCCTCACGCTTCTGGTTCTGAACGGCAGCTGGAACTTCTTTACAAACACTAGTTGCACTGCATTGCAGAGAGATTGAATTCTAAGGCAGATCATTCTAGTTTCACACCTTTCATTTTATGGATGAGGAAGCCTACAGTGACAGCTTATTGGGGGAGACCTAGGGACAGGGAAGTCTCCAAACTCCAGGGGTCTTTATGCCCTATACTCTGCCCCTCCGACCCCTGGCCCCTCCACCATTCCTTCCTTTAAAGCGGTACATTAATGACTAAATTTTAGTTGCAAACCAATTTTTCATTGGAACCCAAGTAAGTTCCACATCTACTAGATAGAACTTTCTTATTGGTTAAGCCTTCAGAAAGCTTAGTTATGGTGTAAATATATACTAACCTCCTTTATCCTAAAAGTAAAGCAAGCAAACATTAGGGAACCCCATTTGTAAAATACTGAACATAGAAAATCCATTTCTAAAGCCAGATAATTGACCCCAATCAGAAAATTTACTACATCACATACCGGCCGTCCATGAATGCTTTCATAATATAACAGAGCTTTCTGCAGAGCCACTTTCTCATTAGCAATCTGGTCTTTGGTCATATCCTGTATAAACACAGGGATAGAGAATTGAAAGAGAGGAAAATGTGTGTGAACATTCCAACTTCTTTACTTAAATTACTAAAGCAAGGCTAAAAAGAACCCTCATATAACAGCTCTCCCTAGCTCTATCCAAAGTTCATTTAAAAATGGGTTACTCCTGAGCTCTTGGGAGAAACGTGGCCAGCACAGCAGAATCATCATCAGCCACCTGGATCTCCCTCACGGCAGCAAAGGTAAGGTGAACACTGAGGTAAGCAGGGCTGTGAGGCACATGGGGCTTAGCTTAATGGCCCAAGCAATGACGACGGTTATACGTTACATGGTCCCAAAGGTTTGTCTCTAATCCTTCTACCTCAGAGTCACAAAACCAGCTATTAACCTAAACAAGTTCATTCTGTAATCTATACAATAGAGTTTTGTTTTCAATCTGTAGTCAAAAACCAAAGCACCCACAGTTAACGCACTCTGCAGCTGTTTCATCAGCTTCCCTAGACACGTAACAGCCTGGAAGGCTTAACAAGGCATCATCTTCCCACTGGGATTCACGTGGCATGCCCTGTGTCTCTACCACATTGACTGCAATGGCTTAGGGCTTAGCACTTCACAGAATGATCGCACCTTAATGTCCTCAGGGCGGCTGCTTTCCGCTCGCTTCTCCTGGAGCTTCCTCTGAATAGATTCCAATGTGGCTTCAACACTGGGCTTTATTGCTTTATCCACCAGCTCTTGCTTCTTCTCATCTTCTTTCTCAAGTTGGGAACCAAAACTCTTGGGGAGTGTGTTGCTTCGCTGCCGCATCCTGGGAGTTAGGTCCTCTTCAGATATCTTTAGTTTTGATTCTAGTTGAGAAGATTTGGGGGTAAAGATATATGAGATTTATTTATTTATTTATTTTGAGATGGAGTCTCGCTCTGTCGCCCAGGTTGGAGTGCAGTGGCACGATCTCGGCTCACTGCAAGCTCCGCCTCCTGGGTTCACGCCATTCTCCTGCCTCAGTCTCCTGAGTAGCTGGGACTACAGGTGCCCGCCACCACGCCCGGCTAATTTTTTTTGGTATTTTTAGTAGAGACGGGGTTTCACCATGTTAGCCAGGATGGTCTCGATCTCCTGACCTCATGATCCTCCTGCCTCGGCCTCCCAAAGTGCTGGGATTACAGGCGTGAGCCACTGCGCCCGGCCTGATATATGAGATTTGATGTCTGCCCAACACAAATTGTTTTTCTGTAGTATCAATAACTTATTCTTTTTTCAGAGAGTATCTAGTTACAGTATCAGTAGAAATCCCTGAATTATTATGTAAAACCTGAGAGAATGGTAACATTTTCTTTGATTACATGGAATGTTTCCCTAACACTAATTGCTGAGAAAGCTTTAGCCACATCAGCCTGTATGATGCTCTCAGAATGTGGCATCCTTGCTCCTTCAGTGGTTAAAGGTATTTAGTGATCTAATGCCCAGCCACTGGCCAACCTTTTCTGTATGACTTACACACCTTATTCTGAAATTAGGTTCACTTTGTATTCTATTTAGTTGTTTACATGACTGTGTCTCTGAAAAGATGGGAATCTCTTTGAGGGATGGAGGCCATACCCTTTGCAGATTCATCTCTGTGTCTACTTGTTTGCTTCTACCACCACAGCAAATGGAGACTTGGATTAAACAGGTGTTGAGAGATGCTGACTTGAAACCATCATCCTTCTATTAGTGATCCAGGGAAATGAAGAAATGCTGCAGAATTCGCCTCTTAGCTGATCGGGTTGCCCTGTGACTGAGACCATGTGAAGACCTGGGGAAGTGGTCACTCTGAATAGCTGAGAGTGCTGGGAAGCATCTTTAAGGACCGGGGAATGCCTTAGCAGTGGCACTCAGTGGGAGAGGAGGTGAGAGATTCTGCACCTGGCTTGTTGTACAGAAGCCACAGCTCCAGAATTTTACCCACCTTTAAGTTGTCTCCGGAATTTGGCAAGGTCATTTGTCCATTTCAGAACCTCCGGATTGGCTGCTTTGTCACTGTGGGAAGGCTGAGAAAAGGAAGTCTAGAGTAAATGCTTTGGAACTGGAGCAGGGAAAGTAAGAAGTGTTTGATGATCATTTTTGTTTTAAATAGGAAGGAAAAGTTGAGCCCCATCAGAATAAGAAATTAAACACGACCAATCAGAGCAAATGTCACAAATGTAATTCCATTATCCTTCTTTATATTTGGTTATTGTGATGCTTTCAAAAAATTCCTCAGAGGCAAAATGCATCTTTATGATCAGTGACTTCTGTGAGGTCCATGACCCCCTTGCCATTATTTGTAGGGTTCAACCTGTAAGACGAACAGTGTAGAAAACAGAGGGGTATATGATGTTTTGCTCAGCAACCGTCACAAAAATGCCTTTTTGCCACTCTTGTGGTACAGAGCTGACAGCAGAACGAGCTCAGTGCTAACAAGATTTCAGAAGATAATATTGAATTAAATTTTAGTCAAACAAAGGATTTCATTCAACAATTTCTCCAGTTCCTGCTTACTGATTAATTTATAAAATGTAGACTTAAGCTTTCATTTTTTTTTTTGTAAGAATACACTTGTGCAAGGAAAATGCTGATACATAATGACTGGGGTTTATCAGGGTGTACTATCCAGGGTTTACTGCCTTTTTGTTGTAAGATTCCCTAGAAGCCTCCCTTAACCTTTCGTCGTTTCTTTGAGTTGCTGAAATGCTGCCATGTCCAGGGAGAGGATGAGGCGAAAAGAACAGTGTGAGGGGACACTTACTCTGTACTTCTTCTCTTCTTCGAATCTATCTTCAAACTTCCGGATCTTCTTTTTAAGGCTCTGAATCCTTCGTGTGAGCTGGGCAGGTGTCAGGTCCTCTTGCTCATCATCATAGGACCCCAGAGAGGAGCTTCGCCGCCTGTGAAGAGTACGACTTGGGTCAGTTTCCCCAGGAGCAGTCACTGCTTGCCTAGAGGGGCCCTGGGGAAGTGGGACACCATGTGGCATGCGGTGGTGGGGTGGGGGCAGTGCGGAGACAAAACAGCCTCTCTCCTCTTGAATAAAAGACACTTGAGTGATCCATTGGAGCTTGGTATGTCCCACCTATTAAGTACATCTAGGCTTTCTAGCTCACATTTATAATTAGCAAAGTAGGACTGGACATCAACCTTTCCTGTGGGCCTACAAGAGCTGAATTGGAGAGCGCTTTGGAAAGGAGACGCTAAGAAAATTCAATATGTGATGTTGCAGTTGGGCCACAGCTCAAATGGGAAACTACAACATGGCCTGTGTCCTAGGATGGAGAATTTCAAATATGTTGCTCCATAGGCTCACGACTTAATTAAAAAAAATTATTCACTATCAGTGCCATTCCTCTTTTCTGATGTTGTGGGGATGATGCATTTGTCTATCAGCAACACAGAGAAACATACCTCATGAAAGAATGGGAGTTTGGTGGGGAAGGAGGCACTTCTGTGTCATCCAGGTATTGCCTGCTCTGCCCATAAGCGTAGAACCGAGGAGAGAGCATGGGGTCGCTGTCTTCGTCCAGCAGCTGACGGATCAGGCGCCCAGCCTGCGGCGAGAGGTGGGCTTCATCAGAGTCACTGTTCTCCCGCTGCCAGGAGGAGAAAGCAGGGATAGGCTCTGGAAGATAAGGGCAGTAAGATCAGGACTGTTCCTGAAAGAGGTCAGGGTTGTTCTTTAAAACACAAGTGTTTCCCAGGCTTCCCAGATGCTTTAGGAAGCTGCCCATTGAATCGTTTCTCATTTTACAGCTAAGGTCCAGGCTAAGGACACCGCGCCCCAACTGAAATCACCAATATGTCTGACAGCCATCATCTGTCTACCTCTCGTTTCCATTCTCACTGGCTTTCCAAAGAGAATTTGCTAGGCTACCCTGAGGAGCAGCCTTGAAGGGGGGAAGCCCAGTCAATTAGTGATAAAAACTCTTCCACGTGATGGCATCAATGAAAAGAAAATGTGCATGCCTGTAATCCCAGCACTTTGGGAAGCCAAGGCGGACGGATCACCTGAGGTCAGGAGTTTGAGACCAGCCTGGCCAACATGGTGAAACTCTATCTCTACTAAAAATACAAAATTTAGCTGGGCGTGGTGGCGGATGCCTGTAATCCCAGCTACTGGGGAGGCTGAGGCACGAGAATTGCTTGAACCCAGGAGGTGGAGTTTGCAATGAGCAGAGATTGCGCCACTGCACTCCAGCCTGGGCGACAGAGTGAGACTTTGTCTCAAAAAACAAACAAGCAAACAAAAAAAAACAAAGAAAAGAAAATGTGTTGGTGGGGGAGATATTTGGTATCACGGCTGTACATCCTTCACCAAACAACCGAGGAGTCAAGCTAAGGAACCACATCAATCTTGAGAGAGCCTATGTATTTAGGAGTTTATAACTTCCCTTGAGGTCATCCAGTAAGCTGTTTTGTGTGCTTCTGCTTAAGTGTGTTGGGATTAGCACATTTAAGATGCATGCTTTGCACTTGAAACTTCAGAAGCTGCTCAAGACTCCAGTTAGAGTGAGATGCATACATAAATTAGCCAACAGAAGAAAAACGAACACCTTACAAAGGACAAATCTGTACAAATCAGTTTAGATAATCTGTTAAAAAAAAAAAAAACACGCTCAGCACAAAATCTTGATCTGTTATTTAGGGAGAGAAGAGGGCAACTGTCTACTTCTATTTACTGCAAGACTTACCTCAATAGACTCCTTTCCTCATTAAACAAAATCCTATCTAAAAGATTTAAAAAATAGATGTCGATGATATAAGGTATTTCATTTGTAATGTTTGCATTATAGAATGAGTTATGCTTGAAATTTACTTGTGGATTACTGTGATTTACACAACGGTAGAATTTGGCTATGATCTTAAACTCTGGGATTCCTAGACTTTGAATCATGGGAACAGTTGCTCCTCTACCTATCATACTATAAAATGTGCAAAACTATCTTAAATAAGTGCTTATTCAGGCTTCTATTTAAAAATATATAATCCTAGAATGTTACAGCTGGGTGTGACTTCATACCTCAACTAATTTTGTGATTTCTCAATCCTGGCCGCACATTAAAGTCACACAGGGAAATATAAATGGCTACCAGCACGCAGGCTCCTCATACTATCCAAGTCAACAATATTTAGGTGAGGGTCCAGATATGTGCGCCTCACACACACAAGTTTAAAAGCTGTCCAGGTGATGCTCATGTGCAGCCAGGTTTGAGAACGATTGATCCAACCCAGCAGGTGACAGATAAGGAAACTGAAACCCCAAGAGGTGGGTCTAGAAGCTAAGTCTCCTGACTTCCAGATCAGTGCTTCAACTTAGAATGTGCCAAGTGCTTCCATAAGAGTGGCAACTTTCTGAGATTTTAGTAGACCCCATATAATAGGGAGGATAAGCACATTAATTTAAAAAATTAACTTTATATGGAATGAAGTCCACAGGTTCTCGAAATTTAAAGAGAACTAGGTTATCTGGAAATGCAGATAAAAATACAAATATTTTAAGAAATGAAAGCAGTGTTAAAGACAGATTCTTATCTATTGAGGCTCAAAAAGTGGCAGAGGACATGCTGGTAGATGTGCCTGGCTAAAGCTGGACACGAACAGGAGGTGTTTCATCATTTGTACTAACACTATCGGTCTGCTCCTCCTAAGTGGTAGGACTTGGGCACAAGCAGCTCAAAACGCCAACATAAAAGAATAAAAAATGGACTGAGAGGCGAAGTAAGGAGGGGGGACTGGAAAGCAACCACTAGAAAAAATAAAACATGTCAGCTGCAGAAAATGGAACTATTAAACTGACCAGCTTGCATCTTCTGTCATGATATTTCATAAGACACCAGTAATTTTCTGCAAGGACTTTCCCCAGGAGAGGGAAAGGGTTAAGATGGCTTGAACAGTAATGCAGCAGGCAATAAGCTCACCGCAGAGTGGCAAAGCAGCAAAGCCACTGGGGGCAGGGCACGGAGCTTTCCTGGGGACAGAGGGCTTTGGCAAAGCAAAGTCTGATGTTGATATTGGCATATGAGTGTGCTGGTTAGTTTGACATTTCTATTCATAAAATCTTAGTTTAAAAGGTGTTACCTTACATCCTGAAGCCCTTTAATGTGTTAGAATCTAGCAGAATATCTCCTTAAAAATGTTATAACTCATCTTTAAGTTTTCAACTAGGTGGTCTCTGTGTATACAAATTTTTACTTATAAGAGTGTGTGATAAGATAAACTGATCTTGAATTCACTAGAAAATGCTAATCATGGAACTGAATAATCATTATTTGATGCTTTGTGGCTAACGGCAGGGCCATCCATCAGTTTTCTTCTTTGTTAACACAGCTTTATTTTGTGGCTTTATTCTTGATCAGTTGCTTTACTGACAAGGAAATCAAATGTGTCCTTTTCCTAGCGTCTCCCATGGTATACACGAAATACACAGCTGCAGTAATTCTAGCTTATCAGTGACATTTTCTCCTAAAGCATATAGTTAGGGTGAATGAATTCACTTATTTTAAAATGAGAAATGTAAAACTATATGAGTTTCAACTCTAATAAAAAGTATGCATGTAGAACGGAAGTGAAAGGTTTCTCATCTATGCAACACAAAATGCTTACCTGATTCTCTCCTTTTTCTCTCTTTTCTGTTATTCGATAGTCTTATAATTTAAGGCTTCTATTCAAAAGAGTTATAAAATGACATGTAATACACAGTTCAGTATAACTAAGGGATCAATAAAACTGTTCCCCATTTTAGTTTGAAATGATCTAAAAGCACAAGGCTCATGTTTTGATAGTTGGCACTCAACTAGAACAATAACAAAGTACTAAATAAGGTAGTGTGGTAGATAACAGGTACAATTTCACTGCCTGCCTAGAGAGCCGGTTTTGAGGATGTATTCACCGACCATTCCCTGACCATTCCCAATTGCTACTTTGGGAAATATTTTATATTTTAACTAGCAATTCTAGAGCAAGGAGAGAGATAGGAATGTTGCAAGAAAATTATTTAAAGGGAAAAACAGGAGGGATGTGAGGCTTCACACTGGACTGTCTTGCTAAACCACCACATAAAATAAATGCATTTTCATATCTAGACCAAAGTTCCTTGTGTACAGTTAGTTTTGCTTTTAGACATGTGTCTTGTCACAGTGAACTCTGGACATAAGTATGACATGCCTCTCTATTAAAAATTAATCCACCCAGGTCAGTTGACATTGCAGCAGGTCGGAAATAACAGAGATAAAAGCTGCATGCTTGCTACTGAAGTAATAAAAAAAGACTAGGCCCTGGGGGAGTTCCAGTTCAGACACTATAGTACACATGGATATAACGGAAATTTTCTGTAGAAAGAGGGAACATATCTCTGAGTAACGCTAACATGGTCACTGGGACAAGCTACTCTCTGCTTAGCTGGCTGGATCCACTTACTATACAAAAGAAAACCGGGTACTGGGATGATTGATTTCTCAGAAATCTGCACAGAATTAAGGGGGCCGATGTTTTCCACATTCCCTTTCCAACTATATTATTTAGAGCCATTACTCCTTGGCAAGATGTAACCATTTTTCTGCTCAGCTGAGCTAGGAGGTACTTGGACATCCCAGACATAAAAAGATGTAAGCCTCATGGTGGAGGCTCTTTACTGGAAGAATTTTAAAAAATTTTCTTTAGTGTTCCAAAATTTAACTTTAGAACAATGTTAGTCCTATGAAATTGTTCAATTAGTCTTGTTAACCAACAGAGTTAGAAAGAACCAGAGTAGTCAGCTTTATCAATCACAAATGTAATCCTTACATTTATCTGCTTTGTCCCTGTTTGCAAAGTTAATAAGCAAGCCCTTAATAGCTCCATTTAAATCATTAATAAATGTGTGGAACAGGATAGGGCTGAGGACTTTTTACCTAATGAGAATACCCCCATTTGAGCTGACTTTGATCCATTTATCTACACATTTAAGAACAGCTGCTTAATCAGTTACTAATTCACTACCCTACCTGTCTTCTCTCCCACTTCTCTGACAGTCGGGCTATCATTAACGCCCCGTCAAAGTCCCAGGTGAAGTCTTTTCAAATGCACCATTTCCCCAACCTAAAGTCTAGTATTAATAATATCAAAGAAAGAAAGGAGGTTGGTGTGACATGGTTAATCCTTAATAAATCTGTAGAGGACCTAGTAATACCAATTCCTCTTGTGTTCAGAGCCACCCATGGCCATTCGGTAAACTGCGCTCTGGTTTCAAAGAAGGCAAACTTAGGCTGATTTTTCCTGAAACTATACTTGGAAATATTTATGGAAGATAAAACTGACACACATAGTGCCTACTATGAGCCCATACTGTGCTGTGCACTTAGCATATTTTAGCTCATTTAATCCTTGCAATAAACTTATTAAGTAGATACTACTGTATCTACTATTCATTATTACCTACTGTTACCATCCTATTTAAAGATGGAAAACCAGGGCAGGTTTACTAACTTGTCGCAAAGCTGATAAGCAGCAGAGCCAGGATTTGAACCCAGGGAATCTGGCTTGTAACCACTTTGATCTGTTGCCCACAAGGATATAAAACTGACATTGTTTAGAAAGAGGCATCAGGTGCAAATGAGGAGACTTTGTTACTTTGAATCATCATTTTGCTTCTTTTGGCCTCAGTATTCTCATCTGTATAATAGGAAGGTTCAAGTGGAATATCTTTTAAGATCTCTTGTTTTTCTATGATACTTTTAGAGAATTTCCTTTCCAAAGTTATTTTCAACAAGCAGTAAGTGATGAGTTAGATATATGAAGTATCTTATGCCCTTTTAAAAATACCACCCATCTCCATTTTTTGAAATGGGGTATTGTTATGTTGCCTAGGCTGGTTTTGAACTCCTGGGCTGAAGTGATCCTCCGGCTTCAGCCGGAGTCCCTTAAGTAGTAGGGACTACAGGCGCATACCACCATGCCCGGCTTAAAATGCCCCTTTAAATTTAATTTCATCAGGACATACTGAATAGAGTAGCTGACTGCTTAAACCCCAGTGCTTACACAAGGAGTATCCTCAAATCAACATAATTGACTGCTTGGGAACATTCTAATTATGCAACTCTGAAGAGCTTTAAATAACACAGAATAGTACATTAAATCTGTATATTCATTTAACTCTGGTGATTGGAAATCCTAGTAATAATAGTCATGTGGCTAAATCAAATAATAAAACAGCTATGTATATTTAAAAAGGATAAAGTATGCTTAGTATTTGCCAATAAGCATGACCAGACTCGGATCCTACATTCACTTTGCGAGAGTTCCATTCCACATGTCCTACGGAATCTATTTATTAGTTTCATTTCCCTTTTTGTTTACTTGATACTGAGCCCCAGAAGCCAATGAACATCATTTTTGTGTGGAGGGGCAGTACTTAGTGAATAGCCTGCTGGTGCTCGCCTCTGCAGTTAAGTATTGCTTCACCTGACATTCTGCGATTCCACATTAATGTGAGAGTAGGAGCTATGGTATGGGGATGGGAAGGAGCAACCAAACCAAAAAAGAGGGGATGGTGCCTTGAAGACTGGTGATGGGGGCTTGTAGGTGGATACTGGTTCAGGAGGTTTTTGGTAATTATGACTTTCGTTTACATATTTTGTTGCACTGGCTTCACATTCACAAATTCGTGCAAAGTTTATTCCTTACTGGAAAGACACAATTTTCTTATTTTAGCTATAAAAAAAGGTGATATTTTAGTGATCAGACTTATTGCTCTCGTTTTATGCAAAAATTCCTTACTTTCATTATACTTATAGCTATATTAGTGCTATAATGTAACTTGGAAAGTTACAATAAGTACATAAGCTTAAAAAAAAAAGGTCACTGAAAGCAGTAATCAAATGATCAGAATGGCCTTGATGTGAATTCATGTAGATTTTAAAGATATGTACATTCAATGACAAACGCAGTAATGGCAAAACAAAAACAAAAAGTTAAAGTTATTTCAAAAACTACTTGGAATACACAATCCACTTTCCCAAGCCTATTGAAATGCAACATATTTTTTTCCAATAACTTTTTAAAAAAAAAATCCATCTAGATTTCTAAAATGAAATGCTGGTTCCTTCAATTATTATCTGAAGGAAAATTCTTTATGTTAATAAAATAGTTTTAAGGAAACTATAAGCTGGCTTTCAGTCACTCTGAAGAGTATTCTCAGCTTTATATTAGCATTATTTAAGTGGCTGAGAGAGATGATAAATTTATGACTAACCAAGATAAAAATAACAAACTGAGTCCATTTCAGGAGAAAGAAAAAATGTGGCTAATTTGAATTCTAACCAAAAATCCTAGTTTTTATCTAGAGCTTTAGGGTAGACCATATCACTAAGACACAAATATAACATTTATTTTTTGGTTACTGTATTTTTCTTTTATTTGGGTAACAGTGACTACTATGGGACTTTTTTGGGGGGAGGTGGGGGCACAGGTTGTTTTTAATATATGAATTAAAAACTAACATGATTATTTCACAGTACTCAAAAATGAAAGAACAGAAAGGTACTCAGGAATATATAACTGAAATTACAAATTAAACAACCCTGCGTTTTGCTGCTCAGTGAATACATTTTGAGCTGAAAATATCTGACAAAATCTGAAACCCACTGCCTAATTATATAAAAATAACTAGAACAGGTTTCTTAGCTTTCAAGGACAGAACTAGAATAAAAAAGTTTGTTTTCACTAAAGCCCTGGATGCCAGAAATGGGGTTTACTCTTTTTCACCTGGTGGTCTTTTCAACTCTCCTCTTGATCCTTCATCTAAGGTCATTAAGATAACTTCTTGGTTAAGAAAGAGAGGAAAGCGGGTAGGGAGAGAAGACAAGGAGATCCACGTGCTGAAACGGGACTGATTTTTCACAGCTAAGACCTCCTGGTAAGTCATTGTGTTAAGTCATCCTGCTGTATTGGAATCAGGTGCACAATTTTTCCCTCCTTGCAGCCGTCACGCACATACTGTATAGAGGTAGACTGGCATTTATTTTGGATCCACATTGGTATGTGTTTGGATGCAGACACATGGATAATGAAAGAATAAGCAGCTTGATAAAACTGCTGCAATATCCTCCCTGAAACACAATTTTGACAAGGCTACTCTCTTCTTCCTCGCAAGTACATTTCTAATGTTTTCACCAAAAGTCTCTAGGAAAAAAAACCAATCTAAAGCACTCACTGTATTACAAGCTTTCAGTAAGATGCATGTATTCAGTGTTCTTTTTGATAAGCAAATCCCTTAAATTTGTTAACCTGAAAAAAAAATCTATCCATAAAAACGAACATAGAAACAAAGCAAACCAAAACGGGAAGGAGATTTCATGAAAGAGGCAGGCGACTGGCATGCAGCAGTGGGAGGATCGCGCCACAGAAGGTAGAAATCCTAAAAGCACACCGGTTCCCTATTACTCTGCTTGGTACTATGAGGGGGAAAAGACATACACATATCAGCACTCCCGGTGAGTCACAAAGGAAAAAAAAAGGCCTGCAAGGTGACACTATGATAAAGGGCAAGCATGTTTTCTTTCTTAGATTGCAACTGCCCTCAGCAACATTTACCCTGAGGTATTCCTATGACAGGTCAAGGATTTTCGGTCATTTGGAAATGCAGTTACTTCTGCATGCATAGCTCTTTCACCCACACTCTCACATAGTTACATGCCTCTCATTTGTGCTTATTTATATATGCTTTAATGATAGCAAATCATCCAAGTATCAGACAACCCTACCTTCCCAGTTCTTTTCATCACACAATGCAGTCAGGTCCGACTGGGGCACTTCGGAGACAAAGCTCTCCTCCTGGTCACCGGCATCTTGATTTCTCTGCTGTTTGGTGTCAGATAGGCTGGGATGCTCCTGGATCTTCATTGTGGGGCTCTGCAATAACAGCACAATGTCCCCAAATATCTACTGCTCACCAAAACCCCAAGACGTCTGCAGCAATTCCACTCCTTCAGGATAAAACCTTCCAAGTCACAGCTGCTAATGCATCCAGCACAGAAATAAAAATCATGGCTTGATGCCCCCCGGATCCTAGCTGGCCACTTGCATGCAGAAAGCAACTGTCCATCTGTGCTCCTTTAACTTTCCCCAGGCTGCTCTTCCCGATAACTGCAGGCAGCTGACAGTCTTGGTGATTACTGATTGGGGCCAGGAATGAGGGAAAGGAGTTTGGTGTTTTCTTAAAGGAGTATGGCTCTCATGACTGTAAACAACAACAATGAAAACCGGGCTACTGCTGTTGCTAAGGCTGTAGTAGCAACATGGTGTCTTTCGCAGGTGGACTTCTTTGCCCCTTAGGTAAACAGTCCTGCAAGCCAGGAATAGAGGCTGTGTACGTGAAAGCTCCCCTGCCGGCCCTGGCTGCTTAGATCAATTAAGCGGGGCTAGCTGCACATTCCCAGATTTCCTGTGGTTGTTTTCTCACTGAGTATTGGGAGAACAGACTATTTATGGAGGAGCTCTGGGTATTAAAGCATTGTTGCGCAAATTCAAACAGCACAGGGGATTGGCGTCTCATCTCAGCTAGCAGTAAAGAATACGGACTCTGGAAATGAGCCAAAATTACACAGGGAGCAATTTTTTTTTTTAAGTAAAAAGTCAAGAGCTGGCAAGTCAGTGATGCATAATTCATGTCTTACAAATACGCAACTGTCACTTGTTTTCCTACTATTCATCTACTCTGAATATTAAATACTTGGCTACACTTGGTTTTGCTTATTGGTGGCACCCACACCAGGCTAGGACATCTGAGGGATGGAGAGATCCTCCCCAAAAGGCTGATATTCAAATTAATAATTTTATGTTTAAACAAACTGCACTCGAATTAATTTTTTTTTAAGCCTTGCTCTCTGGGTAATTTGTAAATTCAACCATTGTCACTCTTCCCTGTCTCACACAATTATAAACAAAAGTGTTTATGAAACAGTTTGCTCACAAATGTATTCCTTAAGTAGCACAGATGGGTACACAAGATTTTCTTTAGGAATAGCTAGAAATGTATTTTGGCAAATATACTATCATTAAATGAAAAAACTAAGAACATCTGGAAATCATAAGTGATTTCATTAATGTATGAGAAACGTTTCTGTGCTGAAAGCACTACTTAAGACTTGCAGCTACTTTTAATAGCCACCCAACCAACCCACTTTGAAATCATCAGGGAATAGCCAGGGCTTTTTACTATTATATTTCCATGAAATGATGCATGGAGACATATTTTCTTCACATTTGGGATAAAATGAAATACCATCAATCGGGTCCTGATGAGCTACTAAAGTCTTATAGAAATGCCAAGTGGCCGGGCGCGGTGGCTCACGCCTGTAATCCCAGCACTTTGGGAGGCAGAGGCGGGCGGATCATGAGGTCAGGAGATCGAGACCATCCTGGCTAACGCGGTGAAACCCCGCCTCTACTAAAAATACAAAAAATTAGCCGGGCGTGGTGGCGGGCGCCTGTGGTCCCGGCTACTCGGGAGGCTGAGGCAGGAGAATGGCGTGAACCCGGGAGGCGGAGCTTGCAGTGAGCCGAGGTCGCGCCACTGCACTCCAGCCTGGGCGACAGAGCGAGACTCCGTCTCAAAAAAAAAAAAAAAAAAAAAAAAAAAAAGAAATGCCAAGTATATCTGGAGATTTAAGATAGTTTAAAAATGCAGTTTGTTTACTGGGGAAAAAGCCAGATTAGGCATTTATGTCACAAAAAGTATTTTTCCCTTAAGCTAAAGCCTAAGTGGACCAGGGTTAAATGCCCAAATCTAGTTCTCAGCTTTTTAAATTACAAAGCCACTCAGTTACCAATCATGAGTGTGCCTGGGTTG
The DNA here is from genome assembly GCF_000001405.40 of Homo sapiens. NCBI lineage: Eukaryota > Metazoa > Chordata > Mammalia > Primates > Hominidae > Homo > Homo sapiens. The sequence goes on from NC_000004.12 coordinate 88,760,841, forward strand.
CGGGGGAGGGGTCGTGGGCGGGGGGAAGCAAAAGAGAGTAAGAATATGCATACAGCAAATAAGCATTTTCTCAAAAAGATTTATAATGCTTATTACCTTTACAGACATCAAAAAATACTAGAAATATGATTTCATTTTTAAAGTATGGTATTTCCTTCACGAGGAACATACATCAAGTCATTTAAGCCCTCATGCTATGGAAAGGACAAAGGGTTTTGCTTACAGGCAGACCTGGGTTTGAAGCGTGGCTCTGACATTTACTAGCCTGGTGCCCTGGCTGAGTTGCTTCCCTTCTCTGAGCCTCCATTACCTAACATTTAAAATGGCATAAGTGATACCAATTTTGCAAAGTTCTTTTGAAGATCTGTCAGAAGGTATGAAGGGCCTTCAGCATGGTGTCTGGGGGCAGGAGAGACACAAATGGAAGCCATCATTCTTTCTCTACTACTATTTGACACCGTATGAAGACAAATGAATAAAACACTGGCACACCTCAAAATTGCTAGAGAGGGGAATAGGAGACAAGGCAAATACAATTGCAATTTGAGGGGAAGTATACTACAACAAAGGCTGGAAGACAATGTTAAATGCATTATGAAAAAATATTAGTGAAAAGAGCCACTAGTGTATCCGTCATGAATCAGCAACAGAAATTTTGATTTGGGGGCAGATATGTGTGGGCTGGAGGGGTGAGGGAGGACGGCACATCACACAGAAGGAAGGAGGAATAACAAGTGCAAAGGCAGGCATGAGAGCGTGGCATGCTGGGCCACAGCAAGAGAAGAGTTTCAGGGTGACCAGCCCTTAGGACAGGAAGGGGGAATGGGACATGACAAGGGTGTCAGCTAAGTAGATGCTGGACTGTGAAAGGCCTCATATGCCAGGCTAAGTATTATATACTTATATATTCAATAAATATTATGGCATAATAGGGCTGCCTATTATGTCTTTAGAGATACAAAGACAAAACTTATTAATTCAAAAGAAATGATTTTTCAGTACCTACTATTTGCTAGATGTTTTTTTCACACACTGGGGAAACTATGGTGGACAAAATAAAATCTCTGTCATAATGAGTCTTACAGAGAAGACAGTTAATCAACAAAAACCTGTTAGGGCTCTGGAGAAAAATAAAGGGGTATAAAAAGTAAAAGAAAAATAAAGTAAGAGGGATGTGGGTGGTAGCAGTTGAGGCCTCTGTTTTATACTGAGTGGTCAGGGACAGTCTCTGTGATAAAGTGACAGGAAGTGAGAAAGTGGGCCATTTGTGAAAAGAGCATTCCAGGAAGAAAGAAGACAAGTGAAAGGCCCTGAGGCATGGTCAGTTTTTCTATGTTTCAGGAATAGTACAGAGGTCAGTGTTTCTGGAATCCAGCAAAGGACAGCCAGAGCCACCATAAACAGAGGATGAGGATGTGTCATATATAATGAGGCATTCGGTCATTCACATCATAGACCTGTGTCAACTTACATGAGCTTCCATACTTCCTGGCTGATTTGTGGCACAGCAGTGGAGAGATCCCTCCTACACAAACCTACACCAGCTGGCACAATCCTGGACACACTAAGCACAGCACACCCTAACTGCATGTAGAGATGCACGTACAGGCTGGCCCTGTCCTGCTGTGCTCCCATCAATCCCTGGGGTTGCTTTCTTACTTGCACAAGTCCCAGCTTTTGGCCCTGCTGGTCTATGATGTGACAGGGTTGCCTTGCCTAGGGCTGCAGACTGCTGATGGTTTTTTGTGCATGTGGGTGCCAGGGAGGCTGTCCTATGTCCTATGGCCCATGGTGAAGTTCTTTAGGCTCCATAAACACTAGCATAAAAACTGCTGTGCCTTCAAATGTTAGCCTAGTCTGGGTGAAGCACCTTGCCCAGTTGCTCCATCCTCTCTAACAGGGCTCTTCATATAGTAGTGCAAATATTATCTGTTTCTCCTACTAGATCATTAAGGTTAAAATGTCAAAAGCATTCTCAAATATAAAAATATTTTTGGTTTCAACTTTTGTTGTTTACATGTCTAATATCTTCTGTTAAATCACAAAGTAAATTAATTTCACAATTTTCAACTCCAAGATCCTTGTACCGTGATGTCATACACTAAACATTGTCAAAAATGCTGCACTATATGAAAACACACCAAATATCTGTGTATTGAAACAAATTTAGTGTTTGGCTCTTAGGTGAGACAACAGAGTATGGCATATTAGGATGGGTTTTAGAGGCAGAGACTCATGTTTAGATACTAGCTTTACTAGCTCCAAGACTTTCAGTGAGTAAATTTCTTTGAACTTCAGCTTTTTTGTTTTTCCTCGAATACAGGAACAAGACTTTGTAAGGTTTGTAAAGATTAAAATGAAAAACGTGTACAAAACAGCCTATAGGAACTATAAACAATGCTACTTCCATTTATACCCTACCTCCCTTTCCCATTCGTTCATTCATTCATTCATTCATTCATTCATTCATACATTTGGCAAGCGTTCATTGAACACATATATGTCCTTGGCACTGGAATTTAGTAGTAAGCAAGATAAGGGATTTGGTGCAGGAGAGAGATACTGAACATACAAGTGCCAAGTATCACGTGTGTTATAAAAGAAACGTAGGATGCCAGGGGGCAAATATGAAGAGAGCTCATCTCTCCCGGGCCCTCAGGTAACATTTCACATTCAGGTCAAGGAGCCATTAATTATGAAGCTATCAGTCTAATCTTTGCCAAGACTTGTCCCTGTCCAGCTGGACCTACCTTTTTCTATCCCCAGACTTTATTTGATACTGCTCTTTCTCTGGCTTCAAATAGTTGGTGAATTTTTGTTTTATTCCTTCCATTGCCCTGCACAGGATATAGTTAAGTGGCCTAATAGTTTATCAGAGCCAGGAATGACAATATCAGAAAGTATGCTGTATAATGCAGTTTGCACAGGAAGAAACTACAATATTAACCGAAGAACTACAGAGAACCATAAACATTTTTTGTTTGGCCTGACAATAAAGGAAAGTGGAAATAAATTTTCAAAATCCATGTGAACTCCAAAGCTTCATTAGGCTTTGGCTATTGGATTGATTTGGAAGCGAATTTGAAGTAAATAGAGCTTGTTAATTTTTCTGGTTATAATATTAAAACAAAGTCCTAAAGCTTCCATGAAAACAGTGAAGTCAAAATAACAGTCATCCATTCTATAAATACTTTTCAGAAATTCACTTTTTCAGGGCAAATAAAAGCCTGCACTTAATATCTTGTGATAACTAATATTAATTCTCAGTCTTGATTGAAAAGCCTTGTCTCCTCTCCTTCTTTCTCTCTTCTCTTTTCCTTTTTTTTGAAGCAGGATAAGAAACATGGAACTAGTCTTTTTTTTTAAAATTATGAATGTCTTGTTTGTTATCAAAGGTATGCTTCTAAGCTCTCTTAAGCAGTAGGCTTAGAAAGCATAAAGAATGTAAAAATATTTTGAAAGAACTTAACACTTCACTGACCTTGTAATTCTGACATAAAATGATCTCTCCCAGATAATGTAATTCCCTCACATGCAGTTAATAATTCTTACTTGTTTTGACTTCTCAACAGAGATTCATTGTAAGGTTTTAGTTTTAATATTCTGGGTTTTATAGAGAAGTATAAAATATTTTCATCATAGAAAATAGGGATTAAATTGAAGCATAAAGCATAAACTCCCTTGGAAACAGAACTCTGAAAATCTGTAATTTCAGGGATATCTTTTAGAATCTAGAAATTGCTAGTTTTAAGGATGACCTCTCTTCTGGATACTTGTAGTTTGTTAAAAGAGTTAATAATACACAGAAGAACAAAGACTCTAGATTTTGCATGCCCAGGGAGCAGTGTGCTAGGCTCTTCCTTATGTTATCTCATTTCACATTGCCCAGATAGGATATTTTATTAAAATGTCAGCCTTTCTGAACCTTCCTGAAGAAATTGTACTTTAATTTTGGACATTTCAAAGTGACTCTTGACTTTTTTTCTCATTGCCAGTGTGTCACTAAACAAATTTTAATCCAAACCACATAAGGAACTCTCATGAAATAGAAATGGGTAACTATTATTGACCAATGCCCATCTGAGATCTCAGGAGAATCTCGTTTTGGACAATATTAGTTGCATAATTAAAATAAATTAAAAAGATATGAAACAAAGGGATAAGCCCATGTTCACTTTCCACACATACCTTCAAACAAAACACATTAAAGGCTGCAAGCTGATTATTTAAAAACTGGGGTCACAGTTGTAACTTCATTTGCCTTTGAGCAGCAGATCTAAGAGAAGCCTCTCTCTGCCTGTCTCTAAAGAGCATTTCTGAGGCTGAAAACAAATGTTCCTCATTCTAACGGGAATAGTAGTCCTCCCAAAAAAAAATCACCTTTCCCCAAGAGCTGTTGTTTGCTATGTTATCTTATGTGAATCTGAGAGTTTACAAGGAGAATTTTAAATGAAAATATCAATAAGGATGAAGTCTGTCTTAACGGAAAACAAAATTAGAAATATTACAATATATATTCAATAGCGGGCATGTAAAATCTGATGTCTCAAAATCTTATGCAATGAGACCTGAAACAAAATATATACTGGTTAAACAGAACTCTAGGAGGAGTAACCAAAGTATAGACTTATTTTTCATCACTGAAAATGAAAGATTATTGATGTTTTTACTAGAAAACTAGATTAAATATTGGGTGGTGTAAGTTTTAGGAAGGACTACATATATTAAAAAGTAATAACTAACAGCACACTGAAACAAGGGAAAAAGCTTTACAAAATGGAAAACAGTTCTTTTCACTGTCTGTCATGGATAATAACAAAATAAATTTCCTTCAGTGAAAGAAGCACATACTTTCACAAGTAGAAATCATCCCAATCTTGTGGAATGATGTCTTATTTTTCTCCTTTGGTGCAGCTGTGGTAGAAAGGTGACATGGAGAGCTTAGTCTAGATTTTAGTTCACCACCTAATTTTATGTCCTAACTGAAACCATCATGTTATTATTAGTGAACGCCTAAGCAGTGCCAGCAGTGGCACTGGGCACGATTGGTGGCTGCACATGAGTAACACACAGAAGAAGAGGACTTGGCACATGGAAGAAGGATGTGAGATTGTTTCCCAATGATTCATCCACTGCCCTGGGAGCTGTCCACCAAAGACCAAGGCAGACTGAGTTCAGTTTAGTTTGCCATTTAGTTTGTGTGCTACTTGGAATTTATGAGTTAATGTATGAAGTCCATCCACAAAAGTTACTTTTATTCCCTTTTATCTCACAAAAGAAAACAGGCATAAAAGGAAAGAACTGAGGAGACCTCTCCAGGAGACTGGCAAAGCGATTTTCTTTAAAATCATGTTAGATAGGAGAAGAGTAGGTGCTTGCTGTGAGCAGAGGAAGATGGCAGTGAAAGGATAAAACCATAAAAAACAAAACACAACTTGACAGTATCATGGGGAAACATGATCTTTAAAAGGATGCCTAGAGACAAGGAAATAATGTCAGCTTGTTGCTTGGGTTCCAAGGAAGGAGGCAAAAATGAGTTGGAAATAGATGAAAAAAGTGGCTCAGAAGCTGTGAGGTCAGAAAGAGGAAGCATTCCCCTCCTATTATCTGGCTAAATTATCTGGTGAAGAAGTATATATAGGACAAGAATTGAATACAGGAGATATGAGGAGTCTACAGCATTAGCGTGTGTTCAGGGAGTGGGGATTAGTTTCTAGGAATTTTATGCACATTTTTTAATGATAATACAATTTTCTAAGAGGGTCTGTAGCTTTCTGATTTTTAAGCTGCTATGCTGTAAAACTCCATGGGGGAATAGACTGTGGTTGTCATTAAATCCCAGCTCCTAGCACAGTACCTGTTCCTAGTAGGATTTAATATATGTTGTTGAATAAATCCATCAGTGAATTAGGTCAGTGCCCAACAGAGACTAAGAATCATTGGGTTAGAGGGAACGTTCTCTTTATATCAAGAGTCAGAATTTAAGAGTAGGTTAAGAAAAACTTTAATTCTTGAAAAGCAAAACTGATAAGATTGAAGGTGGAGTTGGAAGTATTTGGAGGTAGCAGATTGCATACACATACATGAATTAAAAATGATGCTCAGCACACTGAATGGAAGCTGGACTTGGGAGCAAGGGAAACCAAATACTTGGGTCAGCATGGTGATGCCTGAGAGGACAAGTGGGAGGTCAGGAAAGTAAATGAAACTTGAAGATACAGATGACATAAGGGAGGTGAGAGACTTTTCTTCTCCAATGTTTATTTAAGATGAGAGACAAAACTCAGCAAACAAATTGGATTAAAGTAACTCAAAGTGAATTTTTGTTAATTTGAAGATTCATGACCTAATCCTTGTGACTAAGACTCACTACCTATATATTTCAATCACTTAAAAAATGCATCAAATTGTGGAAAATAAAACCAGTAGCTTTGGCTTTTTGTTTTGTTTTACTTTATAGAAAATCTAAAGAGAAATCCCTATGCTATTAAAGTTTATCATCATAAGCAAAACAAAATAATTCACAAAGGAAAATAATGGAGCTCTTATGATTTCTCAAGGAATCTTTAAGTTTGGTATTTGCCTTTCTAATCAATCACAGTTATATTACTTATCTCAATGTCCCTTATTGGCAGACTAATATTTCAGAAGTACACTCAAGAGTGTATGAACAGCCCCGTCACAGTCTTACTCTTGCTTGTTAGCTACTCACCTCAAAATGCTGAGTGTGTCCACCATCTTTTTCATTTCCTTTCCTATAAATAATGGCAACAACAAAAAAATCATAAAATATCTACTTGTTTTATAACGTTTTTCATCCACTGATATTATGATTTAATTTAAGAGTATGTTGAGTAGCTCTAAGCCAAATACTTATAAAATTCAAAAACAAAACACAAAACAAAAAATTAATCAAAACAAAGCAAACTGGAAACACAAATAAACATGACTATAGTTATTTGCCTTCAATAGCACTGTGATAGATTTTCTATTCTAAGCATTTTCCTTGCTATAAAATATTGCTGGTAAATATATAGTCCTTTAATTCCATTCTTTTTAGTTCTTATAATTCACATTGCATTACATGAAAATAACCTTTTCCTGCCCTTGGAAAGAATATTAGGAGACAATTCTAAAATTACCTTTCATCAGACATCCATTCAAAATCATCAGGTCCAGTTCTCTCATGAGATCGTGTGGAATTGAGACTTTCCATATTCTGTAACAGAACCATTATTGGTTGCCTAATAGGAATGGTAAGAAATATGCAACGCAGACCCTCCTTTCTTTAAAATAGAAAAATCAAATAATATGTATATATAAACTAATTCTAGTCCTCATATTTTTATCTTTGTTTAAACTAGTAAAATTATGACAGTTTATTATATCCTGCTTGCATAGAATTGTGTATTGAACTTCTAACATCCTTTTAACAAACATATGTGACAGCATCACAGAAATGGCCATTGTGCCCTATAATGTCTCCCTTAGGTATTATCCACATTGGAAAGCTAAATAGCAAAACCCAGATTGTTAGAGAATCAGGGTGGGTCAGACTTAGAATTGAGGAATCTGACATCGAATCTCATCAGAAACTGATGTACCATTTACTCTCTCTCTATCTATCTATCTATATAAGAACGTATATATACATATGCACACACACATTTATGTATATTCAGTGTACATTGATAAGATTGAAGGCGGAGTATACACATTATATGTGTATATATGTATATACATATATATGCACACACACATATACATACTCAGTGTATACTTCCAATATTATCTAGAGTAACATGTAGCTTATACCTAAGCTGTAAAATATCTATAAACAGAAATGAAAATTTAAGAACCTTTCTTTTTACAATATTTAATGTTAATCTTTATATTAGCCAAGATGGAAAAAGTAAAGACAGAAAACCTAATTTGAATAGTATGTATTTTCGGCTGACCAGGTGGGGTTAATGCTTACCAGGAGGCATATATGTAAGATATCTTTGACTGCCTCTGTGAATATGGCCAATGCTTTCTAAATATCATTCAGGTGACTGCCACAGAATAAGTAAGCCATTTCCTTGAAGGGAGATTACAAATAAGCAAATGAGAATATCTGAATTCAGCAAACTCAAAAACATAGCTGCCTTGGAAATTTGGACCTGAATTTTGTTGAACTCAGATTTATATCTGCATTAAAAGGATATTAAGCATAATCCACTCATCCTGTGTCATCAAAGTAAATTATACATATATGAAAGTAACATATGTTCATCTACCTATCAATAACATCCCATTATAATAAAACCCTTTACTAAGTAAATCTAAGGTTCACAATAATCCCATGAAGTTGGCATTTACAACAATCTCCACAAAATAAACACATAGAGGAGAAAACTAATCTTTGGCTTCATAGACAGCTGAATTATTTTCCATTTATGTTGGTTTTGCCAATTTGCCTGGAATTCTCAGTTTGACACCCTGGGCTCCATTAAAGAATAGAAACAAAGGGAGATAATATAACATAGTAGTTATGACAGTGGCTCTGAATCAGAATACTTGGGTTAGAATTCCAGTTCCACCATTTGCCAATTATATGACCCTACTTGAGCCTTAATTTCCTCATCTGGAAAATGAAGATGGCAACAATATGGTCTAACATAGGGTGGTCATGAGGATTAAATAAAATGATATGTAAAGTACTAGAATAATGATGGGCGTGGTGGCTCACACCTGTAATCCCAGCACTTTGGGAGGCTGAGGCGGGCAGATCACGAGGTCAAGAGATCGAGACCATCCTGACCAACATAGTGAAACCCCATCTCTACTAAAAATACAAAAATTAGCTGGGTGTGGTGGCACGTGCCTGTAGTCCCAGCTACTTGGGAGGCTGAGGCAGGAGAATTGCTTGAACCTGGGAGGTGGAGGTTGCAGTGAGCCAAGATGCACCACTGCACTCCAGCCTGGCGACAGAGCGAGACTCTGTCTCAAAAAAAAAACCAAAAAACAAAAGTATAGAATAATG